>NC_000020.11:217850-369365 GCF_000001405.40 Homo sapiens
AATTACAAGACTGAAGCTGAGGAAACTGTGTTTATCAATAGAGATGCACCGCTCATTCTTATAGAGGGAAGATACAAAGTAACTCTATTAAGTCAAGAATTTCTATATGTTTTATTTACTGCAATATCCTCAGTACATAGACAGCAGTTGACATATAGTATTGATCATAGTATCTAATGTTCAATAGATATCTGCTGAATGAACTGAAAAATTAATAATGTTGAGCAATAACAGGTAATCACTGTAAGATAACATTCTGAGGAGACTAAAATTTGAAGAATGCCTACAAGAGAGGGAGATGCAAAGGGAAAACATATCCTAAAAAATGAAATGAAATTATCCTTAAGAGAAAAAAGAAACACCAGTATGATCAAAGATTGCAAGAGGTAGAAGACAAAACTGCATAAAGTAAAACAAAATGCTGAACTCTTGAAATGCAAAAATCCAAAAATCCTGTTGCCTGTTTTTTTTTTGTTTGTTTGTTTGTTTTTTTTGAGATAGAGTTTCACTCTTGTTGCCCAGGCTGAAGTGCAATGGCACCATCTCGGCTCACTGCAACCTCCACCTCCTTGGTTCAAGTGATTCTCCTGCTTCAGCCTCCCAAGTAGCTGGGATTACAGGCGCCCACCACCATGCCCAGCTAATTTTTTGTATTTTTAGTAGAGACGGGTTTCATCATGTTGGCCAGGCTGGTCTCGAACTCCTGACCTCAGGTGATCCACCCATCTTGGCCTCCCAAAGTGCTGGGATTACAGGCATGAGCCACTGCACTCGGCTGTATTTTTTTTTTTCACTTATTTAGAAGGCTGATTTATTATCACCTCCTGCCAGTCACGGGAATGAGACAGAATCACCTTGAGAGTATCTACAGGGAGAATCTGGAGTCCAAATCCCTTCTTAATCAAGAAATGCTCTTTAATCAACTCCCTATATATAGGGAGGTTGATGCTGGGACAAGAGGGGCTGAATAACTTGGGGTTCTAGTCTTGGATATGGAATGGGGGCAAGTGTGTACAATCTCTTTGATTTTCCCCAGGGCTTCCATCAATATTCCAAAAGACTAGAAATTCTGGACAGCAGCTTTTCCCTTCTCTCCCTTTCACACTTCAGTGACTTCTGTCTTCATCTTAAGACACTAATCTACACCCAATTTTCTCTCCTTCCTTTTTGCAGGAATGCTATTCATTCAAAAATGCTGGGATGAAAGAGCAAACTTGCAAGGATATCTGCTACAATAATTAAAGAGAAATAGATGCCTATAATTAAAAACATTGCTGCTTGTCTCTGAAATTATTTGAACACTGTATACATCATAATGTACATAATCAGTTTCCATCTGATATCCCAGACATCTAATCCTGGAAACAACGTCTAATATCTCTACCCCAAAGCAATAGAATTAGAGCTGGAAGGGGCAGGTAAGCAACAGTGTGGACCTTTCTCAGCAGCAGTGAACTTGGGGTGCTCACAACCTGTGCAAAACCAGCTGTGGTGGCTAAGGATTGCCTATGTCACCTCTCCCCCAACTCTAGGCAATGCAGCTTGGGGATAGACTCCTTCCACTTGGGGGAAGAAGAGGGAAGAGTACAGAGGGCTTTGCCTTGCAACTTGGGTACCAGCTCAGCCACAGTAAAGTAAAGTATCAAAAGTTACCCAGCATGGTGCCAGCTGTGGTGGCCACTGGACTTGCCCTTCCCCCAACTCCAAGCAGCCTGGCACAGAGAGAGAGACTCCTTTTGTTTGGGGGTAAATGAGGGAAGAGAAGAAGAAACTCTGCCTGGTAACCCAGGGAATTTGGCCAAATTTAAACCCCAGCCCACTAAGGTGGTTCCTCTAGGACTCAGCGAGAGTTGCAGTGTTTCTGAGCTTAGGGCACCCTCTAGTGCTGATATAGTTTCAATAATCACAGGCTCAAATCACAACACTCAATCTCCTTCAAATACCTGAAAAGCCTTCCCAAGAAGGATGGGTGCAAACAAGCCCAGATTGTGAAGGCTACAATATGTATCTAACTCTTCAATGCCCAGACATCAACAACCATCTTCAAGAGTTAAGAACATCCAGGGAAATATGACCTCATCAAATGAACTAAATAAGGCATCAGTGACCAATCTGAGAATGATGGAGATATGTGACTTTTTAGACAAATAATTCAAAATAGCTGTCTTGATGAAGCTCAACAAACTTCAAGACAACACAGAGAAAGAATTCAGAATTACATCAGAGAAGTTTCACAAAGAAATTGAAGTAATTTCTAAAAAATCAAGCAGAAATTCTGGCACTGAAAAGTTTGATTGTCAAAGTGAAAAATGCATAAGAGTCTTTCAACGGCAGAATTGATCAAGCAGAAGGAACTGGTGAGAACTGGCTATCCAAATATACACGAAGCCAAAAAAAGAATTAAAAAAGAATAAAGTATGCCTACAAAATGTAGAAAATAGTCTCAAAAGGGTAAATCCAAGAGTTATTGGTCTTAAAGAGGATGTAGAGGGAGAGAAAAGGGTAAATAGAGAGATCTTTTCCTCAGCACATGGAACATTTTGAGAGATCAGGGTAGAAAGGTCAGAGAAATAAAAACAAACAACCTTCCAAACCTCAAGAAAGATATAAACATCCAGGTACAAAAAGGTCAAAAAACACCAAGCAGATTCAACCCAAATAAGACTACCTCAAGGCTTATAATAATCAAACTTTCAAAGATCAAAGATAAAGAAAGGATCCTAAAAGCACCAAGAGAAAAGAGGCAAATAACATATAAAGGAACTCCAATACATCTAGCAGCAGACTTTTCAACAGCAACTTTACAGGCCAGGAGGGAGTGGGAAAACATATGAAAACTGCTGAAGGAAAACCAACCTTCAACCTAGAATATTATCTCCAGCAAAATTATCCTCTAAACATGAAGGAAAAATAGTCTCCCAGACAAACAAAAGCTGAGGAATTTCATCAATACCAGATCTGTCTTACAAGAAATGCCCATGGGAGTTCTCCAACCTGAAATAAAAGGACATTAACTAACAACAAGAAATCGTCTGAAGGTATAAACTCACTGGTGATAGTAAGTACACAGACAAATACAAATACCCTAACACTGTAATTCTGGCATATGAACCGTTCATATCTTTAGTAGAAAGACTAAAAGACAAACCAATCAAAAATAATAATGACAACAACTTTTTAAGAGATTGTATAAAAAGATACAGAGACAATAAAAATCAAAAAGAGTGTAGAGTGTAGAGTGGTTGTCTCTTTGCTTGTTAGTCTGTTTTTCTTTTCTTTTTAATCAGGATTAAGTTGTCATCAGTTTAAAATAAGTGGTTATAAGATGTTATTTGCAAGCTTCATGGTAAGTACAAAACAAAAACCTGTAACAAATATGCAAGAAATTAAAACATACTACCACACAAAGTCAACTTTACACAAAGAAAGATGGAAGGAAGGGAGGGAGGGAGGGAGGGAGCAGGGAAGGGAAGGAAGGGAGGGAAGGGAGGGAATGGAGGGAAGGAGGAAAGGAGGGAAGGAGTGAGGGAGGGAGGGAAGGAGTGAGGGAGGGAGGGAAGGAGAGAGGAGAAAAGGAGGGAGAGAGGAGAAAAGGAGGGAGAGAGGAGGGAGGGAGGAAAGGGAGGGAAGGAGGGAGGAAGGGAGGGAAGGAAGGAAGGAGGGAAGGAAGGAAGGAAGGAAGGAAGGAAGGAAGGAAGGAAGGAAGGAAGGAAAAAGAGGACCGATGAAGCAACCAGAAGATAAATTTTTAAATGGCAGTTGTAAGTCCTTATCTATTAATAAGAACATTGAATGTAAATGGACTGAAGTCTCCAATCAAAAGACATAGAGTGGTTGAATGGATAAAAGAGCAAGACCCAACTACATGCTGCCTATGAGAAACTCACTTCACCTATAAAGAAACTCATAGACTGAATATAAAGGAATGAAAAAAGAAATTCTATGCAAATAGAAACCAAAAAAGAAGTTATTATACTTATATCAGATAAAAATATCTTTCAAGACAAAACTGTAAAAAGAGACGAAGGTCGTTGTTTAATAATAAAGGAGTCAATTTTTGCAAGAGGATATAACAATTATAAATATATATGCACCCAACACTAGGGAACACAGATATATAAAGCAAAAATTATTAGTTCTAAAGAGAGAGGTAGACCCCAAAACAATAATAGTTAGGGACACTAACACCCCACTTTCAGCATTGGACAGATCATCAAGACATAAAATCCACAAAGAAATATCAGACTTAGTCTGCACTATAAACCAAATGGACCTAACAGACATTTATAGAACATTTCATCCAACAGCCATGGAATACACATTATTTTCCTCACCATATGAACATTCTCAAAGATAAACCACTTGTTAGGCCACAAAACAGGTCTCAAAAGAATCTAAATAATTAAAACCATATCAAGTATCTTTTATGACCACAGTGGAATAAAAGTAGAAATCAATAACAAGAGGAACTTTGAACACTATACAAACACATGGAAATTAAAAAACATAATCCTGAATGACCGTTGGGTCATTGAAGAAATTAAGACAGAAATTTTAAAATTTCTTGAAACAAATGAAAATGGAAATACAACATTCCAAAACCTATGGGATACAGCAAAAGCAGTACTAAGAGGGAATTTTATAGCAATAAATGTGTATATCAAAAAAGTAGAAAAAATGATCAATAAAGCAGTCTCAGTATCAAAAATTATGCCATATGTCATTCCCTTCCCCAATATAGAAATTATTTAGAAATCAATAACAAAAAGTTCAAGAAAATGTATATTATGAAAAAAATCATGTAAGAATTTCAAAATGTTTTGCACCAAAATAAACTAATACTAACTGGTTATAAAATGTTTGAACAAGATCTAGTTTCAGACACTAAAAAAGATAAGACATCAGTCTGAAAAGAGCCCCTATCAGAGCAACATGAATTCTGCTAAAATTGAAGCAAGAACAAACATCAAATGTACAGTGAAGCTTGGGTAGAAGAATGATGAAATCATTGATGCTTTACAAAAAGTCTATGGGACGATGCCCCAAGGAAGTCAGCAGTTTGCAAATGGATAACTCATTTTAATAAGGGATGAGATAATATTGAAGATGAAGCCACCAGCAGCAGACCACCCACATCAGTTTGGGAGGAAAAAATTAATCTTGTTCATGCCCCAGTTGAAAAGGACTGATAATTAACAGTAAAAACAATTGTCAACATCATAGACTTCTCAGTTGGTTCAGTTAATGGAAATCTGACTAAAAAATTAAAGAAGAACAAACTTTCCACTTGATGGGCGCCAAAACCATTGTGCCAAAATCAGCTACAAACAAGAGCACAGCTTTCAATGAAACTTTAAACAAGTGGGATCAAGATCCTGAAGCATTTATTCAAAGCACTGTAACAAAAGTTGGAATCTGGCTTTACCAGTATGACCCTGAAGACAAAGCAAAATCAAAGCAAAGAGATGGAAGTGATCCAGTCCAAGCAAAAGCTGACCAGTTAAGAACAAAAGTCATGTCAACAATTTTTGGGGGTGCACAAGGCATTTTGCTTGTTGACTTTCTGGAGGGCCAAAGAACAATAACATCTGCTTATTATGAGAGTGTTTTGAGAAAGTTAGCCAAAGCTTTAGCTGAAAAATACCCAGGAAAACTTCACCAGAGAGTCCTTCTCCAACATGACAATGCTCCTGCTCATTCCCCTAGTCAAACAAGGGCAATTTTTCAAGCGTTTTGATGGAAAGTCATTAGGCATCCACATTGCCATCCTGACATGGCTCCTTTTGACTTCTTTTTATCTCCTAATCTTAAAAAAAAATCTTTAAAGGACACCAATTTTTCTTCAGTTAATAATGTAAAAGAACACTGATGTGGTTAAATTCCCAGGAAGCTCAGTCCTTCAGGGATAGACTAAGTGGCTGGTACCATTGCTTACAAAAGTGTCTTGAACTTGATGGAGCTTATGTTGAGAAATAAAGTTTATATCTTTATATTTTTATATTTTAATGTCATCTTCCACAAACTGTTTGAAGTTCCCTCATAACTAAAATGTCCCCACATGCTCAGATAAGAAACACATTTCTCAACCAATGTTTCTCAGATATTAAAGTACATACAAATCACCTGAGGATCTTCCTAATACGCAGATTTTGATTGACTCATTCTGAGATGAATTGAAATCCTGCATTTCTGACAAGCTCTCCGGAAGTGTTGATGCTTCTGGTCTTTCCACCACACTGTGAATAGCAAGGTTCAAACTAATTCATATGTCAGAAAAGATGACACAGTGGAAATTGAAGTGTTTATTTTTAAGTGAATGATTATGATAACAAAACACTGCAAATAAAAACTTATGAAGTCCAGCTAAAGCTGCATATAAAGGGAAAATTAGAGTCTTACCCACTTGGTTATACTGAAGAAAAGCTGAAAATGTATGAGATAACAACACAAATAATAAGTTAGAAAACAATAACAGAATAAAATGAAATTTTATTCAAAGAAGTTCAAAGAAAGGAAGATAAAGCTGAGAGGAGAAAATAATTAAATATTTTTTAATTTTCATAATATTTAAAATAAAATATAATTAAATAAAAATCAAACATAGAATCAACAAAACCAAAAGCTGATTTTGAAAAGACCAATTAATTAATTCACTATAGGAATAACAAAGAAAAAATTGAAAACACATTACCCATATGAAGAATAAAACACGTAGCCATCACTACAAACTCTATAGATAGTAAAGAGATCAAAGGACATATTGTGAGTGACCTTATGCCAAAAATGAAATTTAGAAGAAATAAACATTACTTGATGTGACCCAAGAAGAAATTGAAAATTTGACAGTTCTAAATTGTTAGGGAAATTAAATCTTAAATCTTTAAACTCAGTTGAGTTTTTCTGCTACATTCCAATGTCTGATCCCTAGCTCTATGGGTTTCAACAGACAGTTGTAGAAGCAGCAGAAAAATATCCTTGCTCTTATATTACAGCTACCGTGGTGTGTTCTTGAAGTCCAGCATGTCTAATCATGGGATCCTGTCACCCTACTTTCCTGACTATGAAAGAACTAGCAGATTCTCTGCTGGGCCAGTTTGTTGGAATGTTCTGGAAGTCATTCTGGGAGACCAAGCCCACAGTCAGCTTCTGTAGAGAGTTTATAAGCACATAATTCTGAGTATTAAAAATATTTCTGTTGAAAATAGCTAGTGTTTTTCATTTCCCAACTGATACACATAAATGCAACACTTTGCACATGTGAATAATTTGTCTTTTTACAAAATTATGCTACACTGTTGATAGATTCATTCCATATATACATGCAACATACTTAATTTTTCATAACTTTCCAATTCTTATTAACTCAACTTTTTGTTCCATAATAACTGTGCTTCTCTTTGTACCAGTACTTTCCATATTCTTATTGCTTTGGGACTAGCAAGACACAATGAGGTGAATAATGTTATTTCAATGCATCTTAAAACACCAGAAACCAATTAATATGCGATATTCAGGATTAACTGATTCCAAAGGGCTGTTAATTCCATCTCTTGATATTGACAAGTAGTAAGTAAATATGCCTAAGCTTGATTATTTTTGTTCATAGAAGTAAAATATACATTTCATAAAGTGAAAGTTCATAAGATTTGCTTTTATTGTTTTAAAAAATAACAGTTAATTTAAACAAAACTGAGGAGTCATTGGATACTATAGTAGCTAATGAAATCCTAAGAAGACATGAATTTCAGGAAGGCGAGGAACCAGGGAAACTCTTGAAACTTGAACAATTAATAATATTCAGAGCCAATGAGCTTCAATATCTGAGTTTCTTAGGAAATGTCCCAAATTAGCAGGGGAAAGCATCTGATTGGTAGGCTTGGTTCTATTGTTACACCTGGATCAATCAGCTACGACCAAGGAATCTGAGCAGTACACTATAAAAATTGCTGCTTTTAATTATTTCAACCATTGTGGAAGATAGTGTGGCAATCCCTCAAAAACCTAAAGTCAGAAATACCATTTGACCTAGCAATCCTATTACTGGGTATATGCCCAAAGGAATATAAATGGTTCTATTATAAAGACACATGCATGCATATGTTCACTGCAGCGCTATTCACAATAACAAAGACATAGAATCAACCCAAATGCCCATCATTTGGCCATTTGGATAAAGAATGGATAAAGAAAATGTGGTACATATATACCACGGAATACTATGCAGCCATAAAAAAGAATGAGATCGTGTCCTTTGCAGGGACATGGATGGAGCTGGAGGCCATTATCCTTAGCAAATGAAGGCAGAAACAGAAAACCAAATACTGCATGTTCTCACTTATAGGTGGGAGCAAAATGATGAGAACACATGGACACACAGAGGGGAACAACACACACTGGAGCTTACTGGAGAGTGGAAGGTGGGAGGAGGGAGAGGATGAGGAAAAATAACTAATGGACACTAGGCTTAATAGCTGGGTGATGAAATAATCTATACAACCAACCCCCATGACACACATTACCTATGTAACAAACCAGCACATCCTGCACATATACCCGCGAAGTTAAAAAAGTTTTTTTTTAGTTGCTACTTTAAAAGGATGTGGGAATCATTGTAAACTCAAAAGTTAAAGATGTGCCAAGAGCTGTCTCCCACGAACTTGTTTAACAAACGTACTGACTTTGTATGTTGATCCAATACCCATGCTGGCCACTGGACATACCAGTACAAACAAGGCAGAATCTTCACTCTCCTCTAGCTCTTCTAATTCTCATGCACTAAGTGCCAACCTTAGCATAACTGGGCTGACAATCAGTGAATCAAATATCTAACTCTTATCCTACTCCAACGTTAAGAAAGAGACATGCGACTGGGTGCGGTGGCTCATGCCTGGAACCCCAGCACTTTGGGAGGCCAAGGTGGGCGGATCACTTGAGGTCAGGAGTTTGAGACCAGCCTGGCCAACATGGTGAAACCCCGTCTCTACTGAAAATACAAAAGTTAGCTGGGCATGGTGGTGCATGCCTGTAGTCCCAGATACTCTACTTGGGAGGCTGAGGCAGGAGGATTGCCTGAACCTGGGAGGCGGAGGTTGCAGTGAGTCGAGATCACGCCACTGCACTCCAGCCTGGGCAACAGAGTGAGACTCCATCTCAAAAAAGCAAAAGAGAGACACATGCAAAGGGCTTGCTCTTTCTTTCTCATCTTACCTATCTTATGTTTTCCTCCAGGATCAAGAGCAAGGAATTTGTTGCATAGAGGTGTTCAAGAAAGGGTGTTTTCAAACAGAGTCAGAAAAAACACAACTATACTGCGAGCAGCATACAAACCTGCTTTGGCTGCACTTCACTGCTCATGGCATAAGGCCACGAAGAGGCCAATAAAGGCTGGAGCTCAGGAGCATCAACCCAGATTCAAGGCTTCCTCTCTGGCACCCAACCATGAAGCTCCTTTTTCCTATCTTTGCCAGCCTCATGCTACAGTACCAGGTGAACACAGGTAATGTGGATTCCCAAGTTTAAGATGGGTAGATGAGAGGAACCAAGGATTTGGCTGCCCATGACAATGGAAACCCAAAGAGAGGAGACTGAAAGATTAGCTGTTCAAAAAGATGGCTAAAGAGCTTACCTATTGTATCAGTCATGCACTGATACATTCTCATAGGCCCCAACTGCCAGATTGTGTCCAGTGGAAACACCCAGGAAGCTACAGAGAAAGCAGGGTATTTTTTGTCTATTCAGAAACTATCCAAAATATAATGCTGCCTTCCTGCCCTGTATATGTCTATCATGCTAAGACTAAGCCCAGGTCTACCTCCTTTTAGCTCTATTTCTATCTTAAAAGCCCTTTTTTTTTAAAAAAAGTCCTGGGGTACTTGTGCAGGATGTGCGGTTTGTTACATAGGTAAATGTGTGTCATGGTTATTTGCTGCACCTACCAACCCATCGCCCAGGTATTAAGCCCAGGATGCATTAGCTATTTTTCCTGATGCTCTCCCTCCACCCAACAGGCCCCAGTGTGTGTTGTTCCCCTTCCTGTGAAACCACCTCTTGAAGCAAAGTTTCCTATCAGTTTGTGCTTGGTGTAGAAAGGAGGAAGTTCTTCCCTCATGCTCAAAAAAAAACCCTTTCAAGATCAAGTAAACAGGCCTGTGTTCTCCATCTTGAATTCTTTCAGGTTTTCCAGAGCCTTTATCGCTTCTCTCAGACTTTGTCTTCCTGAAAACCCCCAAACTACCATAAGGGCATCTAGGAATGCATTATAGCAAAAGGCTAAGCCAGGGGATTAACCATTGTTTTTGGAAAAGAAAGGAGAAGCACTGAGATTTGTTTCAGAATACAAGAATCATCCAGCTATTTGAAAAAATTAGCAAAGGGTTTCGGGGCAGGGAAAGTGGAAGTGTCAAAGATGCTTCTAATGTTTTTATCTTCTAATGTTTTTATCTTGGGACCCTAGGAAAAGGGTAGTACCATAAGCAAGTATGGCTGTGTCATCTTGGGTAAAGTCACTTAACCACTTTGAACTTCAATTTCACATGAGTATAATGGGGTTAATCAATGCAGCTGATTCCAATATAAGAATTTTTCTGTTTCCCGTTTGATGAGAAAACAATGTGGAAATGTATGCAAATATGCTTTGAAAATTAGCAGATGCTACATAAATCTCTTGTAATTTAGGGAAAATCATTGGGTTATTAAGATGAACAAGGGAGAAAAGCTTTCTTGATTCAGAAAAAAGAAACACGAGACATTAGGATGGAAAAGTCATTCAGCAGATAAAGATAAGGTACTAAGCCGAGCAGGAAATTTAGAATTATAGATAACAATACAGAAGTTACCTTGGTGGATATGAGGTTAAGGCTAGGATAATGAATGAGACTTCTGAGAGATAGAGTGTCCAAAGAGGCTAGAAGAGATAGAACACCATGCTTCAGGAATCACAGATCTAGTGATTGTTGAGAAGAGAGAAGTCATGGGCTACTGAGTTTGGTGAAAAGATAAGACTCCTGAAAATTCTATTGATTCTCTTTTGAACTTCTTTCTTAAATTAGTTTTATGATGGACTTGGCTCTCATTGGTATTTCCCAAGATTATGGAGATGGGATAGTGATGTCTGACAAGTACCTAAGATGCTAAGTTGAAGGTCTAAAATTCCATCCTAAAAGCAAATAATTACTCTATCATCTACGTGCCCTTTGCTTCTTAAAGTTACTCAAGGAAGGCAGACTAAACAGGAAATTTACTTTGGATTCAAGAGGGGCATAGAGACGCTCTCAGCCTGCCCATTTGCCTTCATCAACATTCCTAAACACTGGGCTTAAAATGTAGTATGAGTAAACTCTCTCTTAGTCTATCCATCTCCCACTAGCAGTTTTAACATCATCTCTAGTTATTAACCTTGGCTCAATGGCTTTCTCTTTTTTTATACAGAATTTATTGGCTTGAGACGCTGTTTAATGGGTTTGGGGAGATGCAGGGATCACTGCAATGTGGATGAAAAAGAGATACAGAAATGCAAGATGAAAAAATGTTGTGTTGGACCAAAAGTGGTTAAATTGATTAAAAACTACCTGCAATATGGAACACCAAATGTACTTAATGAAGACGTCCAAGAAATGCTAAAACCTGCCAAGAATTCTAGTGCTGTGATACAAAGAAAACATATTTTATCTGTTCTCCCCCAAATCAAAAGCACTAGCTTTTTTGCTAATACCAACTTTGTCATCATTCCAAATGCCACCCCTATGAACTCTGCCACCATCAGCACTATGACCCCAGGACAGATCACATACACTGCTACTTCTACCAAGAGTAACACCAAAGAAAGCAGAGATTCTGCCACTGCCTCGCCACCACCAGCACCACCTCCACCAAACATACTGCCAACACCATCACTGGAGCTAGAGGAAGCAGAAGAGCAGTAATGTGGATCTTTCCCTTAAAACTCCAAGTTCCTCTCTATTTTTGCTATCTATAAAATGACATAGAACTGTTTCCTCTGTCATCAGTCATTCAATAAACACTGTTTGAGCACCTACAGTTTATGTAATATTATCATTCTCACAAGAGCCTCACAGAGGGGGTAGAGCTAGGGAGGGATGGAATTGTTTAAGTTTAGATGCCCAGGAGAAAGTAAGCCTCAGGAGGGTGACTACAGCATCGAGTTTGTCCCAAGCATGGCCTAGATTAGGCCTCTGTAGCAAGCATTTATGTCTCTCATATGGTGTGTTTTTCCTGGAGCAACAGTAAGGAAAGCATCAGGAGATGTATTTTCTTTTCTCATGTATTTGGGAGGAAAGGCCCAAATGCAAAATAGAATATGTAGGAATCAGAAAAAGGTTAAATTAATTGTAATAATATATTTTTGTTTCGTTTTGTTTTGAGACGGAGTCTCACTCAGTTGCCCAGGCTGGAGTGCAGTGGTGTGATCTCAGCTCACTGCAACTCCACCTCCCGGGTTCAAGCAATTCTCCTGCCTCAGCCTCCTGAGTAACCGAGATTACAGGCGCACACCACCACACCCAGCTAATTTTTGTATTTTTAGTAGAGACGGGGTTTCACCATGTTGGTCAGGCTGGTCTCGAACTCCTGACCTCGTGATCCGCCTGCCTCGGTCTCCCAAAATGCTGGGATTACAGGCATGAGCCACCACACCCAACCAATAATGTGTTTTATTGAATGCAATATATCCAAAACATGATCATGTTGACATGTAATCAATGTAAAAATTATTTATGAGAGAGTTTACCTTTTTTGGACTACATCTTTGAAATCTCATATGTGTAATTACACATAGAGCACATTTCTATTCATACTAGCCACATCTCAAGTGCTCATAGTCATATATGAATAGAGGATTTCATAGCATATTGAACAGCAACAAGGCTAGAGAGTTTTAGGGCACAAGTAATTATAGTGACTCTTAGGCATAGGGGATGCCCCTAATCCAGAGGAGACAGGCATATTTCTGAGGGCTGTGGCATATAATTTAAGAGTATAGAAATTCAGGTCTGATATGCCCGGACTAGCATCCTAGATTCTGGCACTTTTTAGCTGTGTGGTCTTGAACAAATCATTTATCCACACATAAGCATCAGTTTATTTATTCATAAAATGGAGATGTGAACATTATATTATATCCCAGAAATCAGCAATCTCAGATCACTCTTCCTCTTATTGCCCAAATTACAATGGCACAGCCACCTATTCTAGTTTTTTAATAGCTTTATTGAAGCATAATTGATATACAGAGAATTGAACATATTTAATGTGAATAATGGCATGAGTTTGGGCATATGCAAAATCCTGTGATACTATCACCACAATCAAGGTGATAGACGTATACATCACCTCCCAAAGTAACATGACCATATTTGTAGAAAACCCTGAAAACTTCACGAACACACACACAAAAATGTAGAACTAAGAAATAGATTCAAAAAAGTCAACATACAAATATCAGTGGCATTTCTATACACTTAACAATGAACCATTCCAAAAGAAAATCAAGGAAACAATCTATTTACAAAAGCAACAAAAAGAATAACATAGGAATAAACTTAACCAAAGAAGTGAAAGAGGTACATTAAAAACTTAAAAATATTGATGAAAAAATCAAAGGAAACACAAATAAATGGAAAGATATTCCATGTTTAGGTATTGAAAGACTTAACATTGTTAAACTGTTCATTCTGTCTAAAGCAATCTACAGATATAATACATCTCCCCCCTTCCAAATCCCAATGGCATTTTTTAAAGAAATGGAAAAAACAATCCTAAAATTCACAGGGTACCATAAAAGACCCAGAATAGCAAAATCAATCTTGAGTAAAAAGAACAAAGCTGAAGGCATCACACTTTCTTATTTCAAAATATATTACAAAGGTATAGTAATTAGGCCAGGCGCAGGGACTCACGCCTGTAATCCAGCACTTTGGGAGGCCGAGGCGGGCGGATCATGAGGTCAGGATATCGAGACCATCCTGGCTAACACGGTGAAACCTCGTCTCTACTAAAAACACAAAAAACAAAAAATAGCCGGGCGTGGTGGCGGGCGCCTGTAGTCCCAGCTACTTGGGAGGCTGAGGCAGGAGAATGGCGCGAACCCGGGAGGCGGAGCTTGCAGTGAGCCGAGATTGGGCCACTGCACTCCAGCCTGGGCGACAGAGCCAGACTCTGTTTCAGAAAAATAAATAAATAAATAAATAAATAAATAAATAAATAAATAATGGTGTTGGGAAAACTGGCTACCCACATGCAGAAGAATGAAATTGGATCCTTATCTCACCCCATATAAAAGAAATCAACTCAAAACGGATTAACGACTTAAACATAAGACCTAAAACTGTAAAACTACTAGAAGAAAACACAGTACTGTTCTGTATTTAAGCTCCATGACATCGTTCTGGGCAATGATTTCTTGCATATGACCCCAAAGCACAGGCAACAAAAGTGAAAATAGGTAACTGCATCCAGATTTTTTAACATATTCTTCTCTGCTACATATCACCTACCTCCATTCAAAGGTCACCTTTCCCCATCCTACTCATTTTTTAATACAGTGTCACTCTAAGAAAGACAAAGATTTTTCATGATGCCCCACAGTGATTCTAGAATATAACTAAAAAATATTTTCCTGGAAGTTTTTGCACAACAGAAAGGAGTTGCAATACAAAGCATAAGTTTAACACCTGCTAGATATGTGTTCTCTGAGGAACCCCAAGCCTACCTGATGGGTGTCAGATTCTCTCCCTGCTACAGCTATTTGTCAAACTCTTGAAAGTCCAGCTTTCCTTCCCATGGAAGGAAAATTCCCACGGAATGCTCTCTTCCGTGTTTACCCACAGAAAGGAGAGAAAGGTTCTTTCTCACACAAGTCTAAGGCCTTCCTCTAAGTCACCTTTTCCTATCATAGAACTCACCCAGCACTTCTCAGGATAAATGATACTGCAGAATATGAGTTTGCTTCAGGGAAATCCCATACCCACTGTGAAAAATATGGTAACTCTCCAATATCAGTTCTCCCCCTTTGCTAAGTAATAGAACCCTCCAAATATTAGGTTGACACAAAGCCGACCAGAGAAAAGGCTGAATTTCCCATCTAGAACTGGTCATTCTTCAATTCAGACCAGCCATAACTGGACACTTTTGCAAATATTCATTAATAGTCTTGGTGAAAACCTCAGATTTCCATTTTGCCAAAGTTTCCAAAGGAAAAGAGGGCCTTTTTCTAAGCCCTGAGAGCCCCACAGTGACAGTAAGTTCTCCCTTGGAATTCACCCTGGCATACCTCGGTGCTACCCCAGATCCTTTCCCTCAGGGGCTATGAGATTAGGTTTCATGGCCGAATGTGACGGTTCATGCCTTTAATCCCAACACTTTGGGAGGCCGAGGCAGGAGGATGGCTTGAGCCCAGGAGTTTGAGACCAGTCTGGGCAACATCATGAGACTCTGTCTATGTAAAAAATAAAAATTAACCAGGTGTCATGGTACATAACTCCAGTCCCTGCTACTGTGGGGCAGGGGCTGTGGGGGCTGAGGAGGGAGGATTGCTTGAGCCCAGAAGGTTGAGGCTGCAGTGAGCTGTGGTCGTACCACTGCACTCCAGCCTGGGCAACAGAGCAAGACCCTGCCTTTTAAAGAAAAAGAGAAAGGAGGTTGGGCATGGTGGCTCATGCCTATAATCCCACCACTTTGGGAGGCCGAGGCAGGTGGATCACCTGAGGTCAGGAGTTCGAGACCAGACTGGACAACATGGTGAAACCCCATTTCTACTAAAAATACATAAATTAGCTGGGTGTGGTGGCGGGCACATGTAATCCCAGCTACTCAGGAGGCTGAGGCAGGAGAATTGCTTGAACCTGGGAGGCGAAGGTTGCAGTGAGTCGAGATTGTGCCACTGCACTCCAGCCTGGGTGACAAAAGCAAAACTCCATCTCTAAATAAATAAATAAAAATAAAAAAGAGAGAGAGTGAGATTAGGACTCACCCTGGCCATCCCAGGTCCTGCCACTCCAGGTCCTGCCACTCAGGGACTGTGTGACTCTATATTTTTTTTAACTTCTCAGGCCAATATTAGAACCCAATCTGATCAAATTAGAAACCTATGAACATTCCACTTACTAGCAGTGCATTCATGGAGCACTTCACAGGGAGTCACCAAAGTATCAATCAATCAATAAACTACTACCCTACCCTGAACTATTAGGTTGGTGCAAAGTAATTGCAGTTTTTGCATTGTTGGAATTTGCTGTTTGATATTAGAATGCGTTCTTAAATAAATGTGGTTATGTTACACTTTTTTTTTTTTTTTTTTTGAGATGGAGTTTCGCTCTTGTTGCCCAGGCTGGAGTGCAATGGTGTGATCTTGGCTCACCGTAACCTCCTCCTCCCGGGTTCAAGCTATTCTCCTGCCTCAGCCTCCCTAGAAGCTGGGATTACAGGCCTGTGCCACCATGACTGACTAATTTTGTATTTTTAGTAGAGACGGGGTTTCTCCATGTTGATCAGGCTGGTCTCTAACTCCTGACCTCAGGTGATGCACCCGCCTCAGCCTCCCAAAGTGCTGGGATTACAGGCATGAGTCACTGCTCCCGGCCTATACATCATTTTAATAGGCATTTCTCACTTTATGTTTTTTGATAATGACTTATTACTTGCTGTTGATTTTATGTTTATTTTAGACTATGGAAATGATGTCAGACAAAAAGAAAATTCAAGCGATTTTCTTATTCAAGTTCAAAATGGGTCGTAAAGCAGCAGAGACAACTTGCAACATCGACTGCGCATCTGGTCCAGGAACTGCTAACGAACGTACAGTGCAGTCGTGGTTCAAAAAGTTTTGCAAAGGAGAGGAGAACCTCGAAGATGAGGAATGTAGTGGCCGGCCGTTGGAAGTTGACAACCACCAATTGAGAGCAATCATTGAAGCTGATCCTCTTACAACTATACAAGAAGTTGCTGAAGAACTCAACCTTGACCATTCTATGGTCGTTTGGCATTTGAAGCAAATTGGAAAGATGAAAAAGCTCGATAAGTGGGTGCCTCATGAGCTGAGCAAAAATCAAATCATCATTTTGAAGTGTCGTCATCTCTTATTCTACGCAACAATGAACCATTTCTCAATTGGATTGGGACATGGCAATGAAAAGTGTATTGTATGTGACAACCTGCTACAAGCAGCTCAGTGGTTGGACCAGGAAGCTGCAAAGCACTTCTCAAAGCCAAATTTGCACCAAAAAAAAAGGTCATGGTCACTGTTTGGCACTGTGATCCACTACAGCTTTCTGAATCCCAGCGAAACCATTACCTCTGATAAGCATGCTCAGAAAATGAGATGGAAATGAGATGCACCGAAAACTGCAATGCCTGCAGCCGGCACTGGTCAACAGAAAGGGCCCAGTTCTTTACGACAAGGCCTGACCTCATGTTGCACAACCGACACTTCAAAAGTTGAATGAATTGGGCTACGAAGTTTTGCCTCATCTGCCATATTCACCTGACCTCTCGCCGATCGACTACCACTTCTTCCAACTTTTTGCAGGGAAAATGTTTCCACAATCAGCAGGATGCCGAAAATGCTTCCAAGGGTTTGTTGAATCCCAAAGCACAGATTTTTACACTACAGGAATAAACAAATTTATTCCTCATTGGCAAAAATGTGTTGATTGTAATGGTTCCTAATTTGAGTAATCAAGATGTGTTTGAGCCTAGTTATAGTGATTTAAAATTCACGGTCTGAAATCGCAATTACTTTTGCACCAACCTAATATGTATGCAGGTGAATTCTGTCTGTCTTTGCTAAGCAGTGAGGTGATCCCGTGCTTAATGATGTTACTGCAAGCATGACAGCGGATAGAAGCGGGGAGGGCCAGTGATGAAGATAACTATTAGAGAGGGCATCCCAGTTGATTAGAAGCCCATCCCTAACTAACTACATCACTTCTAAAGGCCTGATTTCCAGTCCAGAACTACTTTGAAAATGTTGTTTATGAACTCAAATTGTTAGTTGTAAAAATTATGAAATGAAAGACTATTATGAGCATATATAAAATAAATTAGCCAGTAAATAACCTAAGATGATGAAGAAAAGAGCACTAAATAAAACCATAAATAAAAAGTTGGGAGCTTGGTAATGTCCAGAAAAAAATATATATTTACTGTAACAAAGCAAAGGCCTTTTGTTAGTACATGAGACTCAGAATGCCTTAAGGAATGTGCTGGGCTCTAGAGGGCAGGGCAGGCACACAGCAGCTGGCACTGTTTGTCCAGACTCCTGCCTGGACAAGTTGAATTAGAAAAATCCAAGCAAGAAACAGTGTCACTACTGGCTTCCCTGCTCTCTACTCATCTGCTCAGAGAGCTGCATGCTAGTTTGGCCTGTCCTGCACCCGTAGAGGACAATAGGTTATCTACATCCTTCACCACTAAGTGAGCCAATGGGCTGAACTGTGTTCCCCTCAAAATTCATATGCTAAAGCCATAACCCACAATGTCACTGTATTTGGAGGTAAAGCCTTTAAAGAGGTAATTAAGGTTAAAAGAGGTCATATGAGCAGGATCCTATCCAACATAATTGGTATCTTTGCGAGAAGAGGAAAAGATACCAAGGATATGCATACACAAAGAAAAGGTCATGTTAGGGCACAGCAAGAGGTCAGCCATCTGCAAGCCAAGGAAGGAGGTCTCAGGAGAAACCAAACCTGCCAGCACCTTGATCTTGGACTTCTCGTCTTCAGGACTGAGAGAAAATGAGTATCTGCTGTTTAAGCCACACAGGCTGTGGTATTCTGCGATAGCAGCCCTAGACTAATACAGGCCATAAAAAAGATAATATCCTTTCTTCCTTCTTTCTGAGCTCTGGGTAAATGGAGGTCAGATAAAGCCAGGTGTGATGGCACATGCCTGTATTACCCGCTACTCAGGAGGCTGAGACAGGAGGATTGCTTGAGCCCAGTAGTTCTAGGCTGTAGTACACTGTGATTATACCTGTGAATAGCCATTGCACTCCAGCCTGGGCAACATAGTGAGACCCTGTCCCCTCCCCAACCAAAAAAAAAAAAAGAAAGGAGGAGGGGGAGGAATGAGGTAGGAACAATAGGAACAACAGATGCTTTTTTTTTTTTTTTTTTTTTGAGACAGAGTTTTGCTCTTTTCACCCAGGCTGGAGTGCAATGGCGTAATCTCGGCTCACTGCAGCCTCCGCCTCCCAGGTTCAAACGATTCTCCTGCTTCAGCCTCCCGAGTAGCCAGGATTACAGGCACCCACCACCATGCCTGACTGATTTTTGTATTTTTAGTAGAGATGGGGTTTCACCATGTTGGCCAGGCTGGTCTCAAACACCTGACATCAGGTGATCCACCTGCCTCAGCCTTCCAAAGTGCTGGGATTACAGGCGCGAGCCACCGTGCCCGGCCAACAGATGCCTCTTAAAACACCCTGAGCCTCTGCCTTTATTCTAAATTTGTCAGTCACAGGCCCGGGAGAAAGCTGAGCAACTTCAATAGGATTTTTAACTCAAATCTAAGACAGAAGTTTATATAAAGTTGTAGTCAGACTCGGCTGTGTTCAGAAAGTATATTTCTTCCATTGCTCAGCAATTATTTATTAGCATCTATTCTGGTCTCTGGGCAAACATTAAGGACTAAGAAATGAATGAACTCTAATCATTTTCATTCTTTAAAAATTGTGCAGCCAAGAAAGAGAAATAAATAGGCAAATGACCACATAACAGCAAGACATGTATAGTGAAAGTCATGCTCACTGCAATAAAAAGAACCTCTAGCTCTGAGTGAGGAAGGGGGAGTGGGTGCTGAGGTTGTGGGAAAGAGGAAGCGTGGGTAGAGTGAGGCAGACTGCTGTGGAGTGGAGCTGTGGGAGTGGCTTAGAGCTTGCAGGAGTAAGGGAATGAGGTGAGAGTGGAGGAACGGCAGAGTGCATATTCTCAGTTGCCAGAGATTCTGGGCAGCTTCTTTCGATCTTTGAGGATTTGGGCAGGAAAGGGTGAGAAAGGCCCATCTAACAATCCTGCGCTTCATAATCCCCTGAATCCTTGAAATTATTACTAAAGCTTAATGCTGGGAAAGATCTCTGATTCCCCTGAATCTGATTTGGCAAGCCAATCAATCATTTGTGTTAATTGGGAAAGAAATCAAATATTTCTGTGTGAATATACTCATCTCAAAACATTTTCAAGATAAAGTGTTTTACAAACTATGCTTCTGAGTCAATAGGATTCAGCTGTTTCGTTTTCATTTCAGCAACTTAGAGGAAGTTTATCTTCAGAAAAAATTGCTATAAGACACTTCCTATAAGCCAGCCCTGTGCCAAATTATTTACATGAATCACCTTCTCTAGTCTTTAAACAGCCCTATTATGAATGGACAATTATCTCAATTTGACAGATGATGAAACTGAGGCTTGAAGAGATTAAGTTACCTAAGATCACACAATATGCCTCCAAAATTCGAAGAGGGCCGAAGGTTGTAATTGTGCAAGAAGAAGCAAATTTTCTATCTCTTTGAACCATAGACTGTGGATCCACTGCAACCTTGCTGAAATGGAAGTCTTTGTTGTTTCATGGGGGTTTTGCTGAATCTTCTGGCTTGTAGCAAGAAACTACTTTATCTTCACCAGATCTTATCAGCACATTGTATACCTGTGTGATACTCTGTGTGCTAATAAAATTATCAAGCTTCCTGTGGGTCCAAATTATGGCAAAAACGTAAGACAAAATGATAATCCCAGCACTTTGGGAGGCCGAGGTGGGTGGAACACAAGGTCAGGAGTTCAAGACCAGCCTGGCCAACATGGTGAGACCCCCGTCTCTACTAAAAATACAAAAATTAGCTAGGTGTGGTGGTGCGCACCTGTAGTCCCAGCTACTCAGGAGGTTGAGGCAGGAGAATCGCTTGAACATGGGAGGCGGAGGTTGCAGTGAGCTGAGATCACACCACTGCACTCTAGCCTGGGTGACAGAGCTAGACTCCATCTCAAAAGAAAAAAAAAAAGAAAAAGCACACGACTAGTTATCATAGATACTGTTGGCTACTGTTTCCTCTCTGTTGTGTGGGTCTGAGCAAAGAGAGGGAATGGGATGCACCGTGCTTTCAGCTCTCTATAGTCTCTTCTGGATTTCAGTGTTTCAGCACAGCCCTAAAAACTACCACATGATTATGCCCCACGTAACAGTCAGATCACCTTGTCTCTAGAGAGACCACGCATCCATAACGAAGAACCTCTTATAACCATGGGTTCCACATCTTTACGGCTTAATCACTGATGCTCTCAGTGAACCTGAAAATTGATCCTGCTGAACAAGATCAATAAACAGAGTTTTGATTCAAAGGCAGCCCAATGAGTTAATAAGTGCTCCATGACAATGCCAAAGAGGATTAAGGAAAGAATAGCAACCTGGAGGAAGATGTATAGAAAAGCAGACCAGGTGCGGTGGCATGCGCCTGTAGTCCCAGCTACCCAGGAGGCTGAGGCAGGTGAATCATTTGAACCTGGGAGGTGGAAGTTACAGTGAGCCGAGATCACGCCACTGCACTCCAGCCTGGGAGACAAAACGAGACTCTGTCAAAAACAACAACAAAAAAAAACCAATATTAATAATGCAAATATTTGAGTTACAGGGCATTTTTAAGAGCCAGATACAGTACTGGGAACCTTGAGTATATTATCTCATTTAGTCCTTAAAACAACCCCATAGACTTTATATAAATAATACAACTGAAAGTTTAACTTAAGTTGCTGAAGTTCACAGATAAGCAGTAGAATCAGGATTGGAACCCATGTCTCATCATATCAGAGACCCTACGCTTAAGTGCTATGCTTCCTTGACTCTCACTGGCAACAGCTTTGGTGCATGTACCTAATGCCAGTTATATCATAAAGGATCTACATGGATAAGCTTATTTCATACTCTTAGAAATGGTTTGGAAGAGGCCAGGCGTGGCGGCTCACACCTGTAATCCCAGCACTTTGGGAGGCCTAGGCAGGCAGATCACGAGGTCAGGAGATCGAGACCATCCTGGCTAACATGGTGAAACCCCATCTCTACTAAAAATACAAAAAATTAGCCAGGCATGGTGGCATGCACCTGTAATCCCAGCTACTCAGGAGGCTGAGGCAGGAGAATTGCTTGAACCTGAGAAGCAGAGGTTGCAGTGAGCCAAGATCACGCCACTGCACTCCAGCCTGGGTGACAGAGTGAGACTTCGTCTCAAAAAAAAAAAAAAAAGTTTGGAAGAAGCTATAGAAGTCTCGATATTACTGGTGACCCAGTATAAGGAGGAGTGGTGAATATCCCTATTCTAAAGGATTTCCTAATCCTGAAGGATTTGGACAGCTCCTGCAATTGCCAAATGTAAGCGGCCTGAAAAGTTCACACTTAGATTATTGCCTTTATTTTTGGCTCCCACACTGTAAAAGAAATTAGAATTAGAGCACAGATACAAAAGCTATGATAATGAAAGTCCTAAAAAAAATTCCATTAAGAAACACACACATATAAGTCAGAAATTCATTGGGAATACCTTTGCATTTTAAGAGATGAGAAGGAAAGAGTTAACAGTAGTCCTGAAATCAATTCTCTCCCTTTAACAGGAGATACTTCTGGCAGGAAAGAAAAAAAAAAAAAAAAAACTTGACTCTGACTCTGTCAGATCTCCTTATAACATGCTAATAAGAGACCTTCTGGTAAATATGCTAATGATATTCACTAGCAGAGGGGTCTTTATGTAGCAGAATGCATCTGCTCAGTCCTCAATTGCTTCTGGTAAACAAACTTAGAGTCTATGAATTTACAGGGCATGGCTCCTTGAAAAATGTCATGTGTTTGTAATGCTAAGTAATTGCCAGAGAATAAAATGGAGATGTTTCTAGCTAAAATAGCCCCTTTGGGTAGCTGATGGGCACCCATGCATCACAGACATCACTTAGAGATCTTTCATGTTAAACCTATCCCATGGCTTATTTTCATGAGGCAAGAAAGGACCTGGGAAGTGGTGTGGACATCCCAGACTTTTGCATTTTTACCTGCTTCGTAATTACCCGTATCCTTGAAATTATTACTAAAGCTTAATGCTGGGAAAGATCTCTGATTCCCCTGATTCTGATTTGGCAAGCCAATCAATCTTTTGTATTAATCAGGAAAGAAAGCCAATATTTCTATATGAATATACTCATCTCAAAACTTTTCAGAAAAGATATTTTCCATACATGGAAATAGCTTAATTAACTTTTTCTGATTATGAGGTTACTTATAGTCATTTTGAACACTCAGACAAAACAGAAAACTTTATGGAAGATAAAATAAGAATAACAAAATCTTTCCCAAAGAGAAAGACCATTAAATTTTTGTATATATCCTTCCAGAGAATACACAAATTATATGTATATATATTTTACATGTATACATATATAACAAAGACTAGCTTATACTACCCACGCTTTCCTGTCATTTTTCTTTTCTACCTAAGATATCACTGACAGTCTTTTATATAATAAGGATAGTCCTCAATTATCATCATTGTTTAAATGGAATTCTAATGTGTTAAGTGCCATAAATTAGCAGATTCTCTATTGATAGACATTTAGCTTACTTTTCACATTCTCACTATGAGTAATGCTAAGAAGGCAATATAGTTCTTGCACCTTCATGAACATATTCTTTTATGCTATGTGCATTATTTTGGGTCAAAGGGCAAGCAGAGTTTCATTTAATTTTGTTTTAGACATGGGCTATATATTGACAAATTGCCCTCCCAGGAACAGTACACAGTTTTTCTTATGTTGCCTCACCCATGCCAGCAGTAGCTAGAAAATGCATTTCCAAAGACTGGTGCTAATTTTCTGTGCATTCTGTGAGTGCTCAGTCAATTTAAGCAATAACCACTTAGAGTAACAAAATCTATTCACCCTAATAGCAGAGATTTCTACTTCATCCCTGGCTCACTGCCCAACTTTTGATCTCATCTAAGGCCAATAAATGTAGCTCCAGACAAGTGACACAGGTAGCTCTGTCCCCATCCAATCTACCCAGCTACTTCTCTTAAGGCACGTTCTGATCCTTCAAGCATGAAGTTCTTGCCTCTGGCTTTTGTTTCTCTCTTGTTTCTGGCTTCAGTGACCTTGAGTACCCTGGAATCTTCCATATTGAGAAAGAAATGATAGAGGGGAGGGGACATGGAAAAAAGAATTAAATATATCTATTTTTAAAAAGAAAGAAAATTTTAGAATGGACATGTCTAGAAGGAGGAGGAAACAGAGGAGGGGGACAGGTATAAAAACTGGACTTCTCTGAATATACTCTGCTTTGAAGGTTTGACTTTGGAATCATCTACATATTTTATCTAATACAAGAATATCGAAACTTAAATGGCAATCCCAAAAATCTAAAAGGAATAGAAATCAAATTAGCCTCTGTAATAAATGGGTTGTATAACCACACAAAGGACTATTTGAAATGACTTTCAAAGAGTAATTTGAGAATACTTCCTTATTGGAATATAACCTAAAAACAGAAGAATTGCAAACTGTTTTCAATGTTTTCAGTAATCATATTGAGACTTTAATACATATATTGTGGGATAAAGGAAATGAATGTTGGTGTCACTGATAGAGATAAGAAATAAAAGTTCAGGTAAAAATTCTGTAAATCCTAAATTTGAATTGGAATTTTATATTTTATTTTTAAAATACCTTTTTCTACCCCCATCCACTGAAAAGCCCTAGAAATATTGGCCAACCTAGTAGAAATGATTTCCCTCTCACCCGGGATATTATCTCTAAATATAATTTACCAAAGTCTTATTGAAGAAATTGCTGTTTCTGAGCTTGAAGCAACTATACAAATGTACCTGGAAGATTTTACCATACTGGAAAAAAGCAGCTTGACAAAGACTACTGAAGTCATGTCAAAAAAAACAAAGAAGTCAACTTGAAGGGGCTTTCTCTTGGCAAAGATGGGAAAATGTGAACCTTGATAAAAAATAATTGCATGCATTATTCACAGTAACCAAGATATGTAATCCACCTAGGTGTCTATGGATGGATAAATATATAAAGAAAATGTGATATACACAATGAAATATTATTCAGCCTTTAAAAAGAAAGAAATCCTGCCATTTGTGACAACACAGATGAACCTGGAGGACATTATGCTAAGTGAAATAAGCCAGACACAGGCAGACAAATACTGAATGATCTCACCTATGTGTGGAATCTTAAAATGTCAAACTCATGGACACAGAGAGTAGGATGGTGGTTACCAAGGGAGTTGAGGGAAATGAAGAAGTACTAGTCAAAGGGTACAAAGTTTCCGTTATGCAGGGTGAATAAGTTCGGGAGCTTACTGCATAGCACAGTGACTACAGTTAATAATACTGTGTTGTATACTTGAAATTTGCTAAGAGTAGATCTTAAATATTGTTACCACAGAAAAAAATGGTGACTATGAGAGGTGATGAATATGTTAATTAGCTTGATAGTGGTAATCATGTCACAATGTATATGTCTATCAAAACATCACATTGTACGTCTTAAATATGTACAATTATTATTTGTCAATTATACCTCAATAAAGCTGGAAACATAAAAATAAAATAACTACAATTAATTGAAACATATCAAACATGTCCAAAACTGATAAAGAAAGGTAAAGAATTTGGCCTGGCACAGCGGCTCACACCTGCAATCTCAGCAGTTTGGGATGCCAAGGCAGGCGGATCACCTGAGGTCAGGAGTTTGAGACCAGCCTGGCCAATATAGCAAAACCCCATCTCTACTAAAAATACAAAAATTAGCTAGGCGTGGTAGCGGGCATCTGTAGTTCCAGCTACTACTCAGGAGGCTGAGATAGAGAATCACTTGAACCCAGAGGTGGAGGTTGCAGTGAGCCGAGATCACGCCACTATACTCCAGCCTGGGTGACAAAGTGAGACTCTGTCTCAAAAAAAAAAAAAAAAGAAAGAAAGAAAAGTGAAGAATTTATCCTGGCTTTTCTGTAAAAACTGCACCTCAGAAGAACCAAATTATTGATAAGGAATTTTGCTCTTTAGAAATATTTCCAGCTAATAAATGAAGGAATAATAGCATTGAGACAAATCGCCATTTTGTAATCTCAGGTGAATTTACGGATCTAGGCAATGATCATTAATGGCTGAGAAAATCACAACAAAAAGAACAATTAGACATTTGTGCCTCCTGATAGAAGTATACAATATCACCTTCAAAGCTATTTTGCCAAAAAAGAAAAAAAAAATCAACCCAAATCTAATCAAGGCTCCCACTCTAACTCCCAAGCTCTAGGATATACCAAGGACAAAGGAAGATCATGAAATACCACCATGGGGATTCAATCAGCAAATTCTGAAATGCAACATTATCCTTCACCCTGCTTGGCCTAAAAGTACAAAATAACACGAGGAAAAATTAGTTTCCAGAGCCTGTTATATTTTGAAAAATCATCAGAAAACTGAGAATCAAGGATAGAATTTCTAGAAAGTTCCTTCCCCTAAAGCTTTCACACTTGCCTCAGTGTATATATGTGGCTATACCACTGACAGGCCGCCAGTCATTAAATTCAAGCTCCAAGAGACAAACTCTTGAAAAAAAGGCAGCCTAGGAGAAAGCAACATGATTTTTCACATATTTTAACTTGGTTTTTCTCATAAAATGGTTTCTGAATGTTTCTTAGCTTTCAATGGGCAATAAATAACTTTTAGGGAAATAGATGTGAGCCAATCTGAGGAAGTATTTGAGATGAAGAGAAGGCTTTGCTGTCTATGAGGAGTGCATTAGAATAGAATCGCTCCAGGAAAAGGTCACCTGTGTTGATTGCCTTTATGAGGTGACATTTAAATAAAAGTACTCGTTCAGTTTTCATTGAAAAACATTAAAAGACATCTCCAAAAATTTTTTTGGGAATGTGAGAAACTCTGCTGCACAAATGATCATGTTTTGTCAAATAAGATGAAAAGAAAAAAAACACACACAAAAATGAAAAAACAGATGGAGGGGTAACATAAATTAAGAAACTCAGAAGACACATCTACAAATTACAATTTATGGATCATATTTGAATGCTGATTCTAAAAATTTGAAAAAATATGCATTTGAGAAAATGAATGCTGACTTCATAGTTTATAATATGAAGTCATATTATAAAATATAATAAGAATGAAATATTAATAATTTATCAGGTATGATAATGGTTTTAAGGATGTGTTTTTTGTTTGTTTGTTTTTTGAGACAGAGTCTCATTCTGTTGCCCAGGCTAGACTGCAGTGGCGCGATCTCGGCTCACTGCAACCTCTGCCTCTTGGGTTCAAGCGATTCTCATGCCTCAGCCTCTCGAGTAGCTGGGATTACAGGCATGCACCACCATACCTGGCTGATTTTTGTATTTTTTTATTAGTAGAGATGGGCTTTTGCCATGTTGGCCAGGCTGGTCTGGAACTTCTGGCCTCAGTTGATCCACCTGCCTCGGCCTCCCAAAGTGCTAGGATTATAGGCATGAGCCACCACGCCCAGCCTAAGAATGTGTTTTTTAACTGTATATATTTAAGGTGTGCAACATGATGTGTGTATGTATATATATATATATATATATATATATATAGAGAGAGAGAGAGAGAGAGAGAGAGAGAAATAATTTCTGTGGTCATGCAAATTAACATATCCATCATCTCACAGCTACAATTTTTGTGTATGTGTGGCAAGAGCACCTAAAATCTACTCTTAGCAAAAATCCTGAATACAATACGATATTATTAACTATTGTACATTAGACCTCTAGACTTGTTTCTCTTACATATCTGCAACTTTGTGTCCTTTGACCTACATTTCCCCATTTCCTACCCCTCCACCACACCCCAGTAATAACCACTTTATTCTCTATCTCTGCATTCAACTTTGTTTTTTCTAGTTTTTAAACTCTGCATATAAGTGAGATCATGCAGAATTTCTCTTTCTGTGTCTGGTTTATTTCACTTAGTACAATGTCCTCCAGATTCACTCACGTTGCCCCATATGGCAGAATCTCCTTCTTTTTTAAGGCTGAAAAATATTCCATTGTATATATACCATAGTTTCTTTGCCCATTTATCCTTCAATGAATACTTCAGTTGTTTCCACACCTCGGCTATTGTGAATAATGCTACAATGAACGTAGGAGTACAGATATTTTATGAGGTGATGATTTCACTTCCTCTAGGTATATACCCAGAGGAGGAATTGCTGGGTCCTATGGTAGTGCTATTTTTAATTTATTTAGGAACCTTCATACTGTTTTCCTTAATGGCTCCACTAATCTACATTCCCACCAAAAGAGTATACAGGTTCCTTAAGGGTGTATTTTTCAAAAGGGTCGCCGAGAGATACCTATTAAAATATATACAAGAGAAATCTTATAATATCAGGGATTTGCTTCAAAGGAGGGGAAATCCAAGAAGGGGAAAGTAAATTGGGTTATATAAGAAACAAGATTGGCCATGAGTTAATGTTGAATTTGGATGATGAATACATGGGGGCTCATTATATTATTGCTTGACTTTTACACACATTTAAATTGTTCAATAGTATGTATTAGTCCATTCTCACACTATATAAAGACATACCTGAAATTGGGTACTTTATAAAGGAAAGAGGTTTAATTGTCTCACAGTTCTGCAGGGCTGTAGAGGCCTCAGGAAACTTACAATCATGGTGGAAGGGGAAGCAAACACATCCTTCTTCACATGGTGGCAGCAAGAAAAAATGCAGCACAAAAGGGGGAAAAGCCCCTTATAAAACCATCAGATCTTGTGAGAACTCACACACTATCACGAGAACAGGATGGGGAAACCACTCCGTGATTCAATTATCTCCACCTGGTCCCTCCCACAAAACGTGGGGATTATGGGAACTACAATTCAAGATGAGATTTCGGTGGTGACGCAGCAAAATCATATCAAGTAATAAGCTGAAAATACCCTTTATATAAATAATGATAACACTGCATGGAAATAAAGAAAAATCTTTAGGATGCAGCCTAACTGGTATTTACGATTTTTTAAACCCTGGATTAAACGCATCTTTTTATAAATGGAAATAATTAATGAAGAACTGAGATGGAATCAAAATAGCAAATCATGCACACACACACACACACACAAATTCTGTTTAGAGAACTAAAACAATATGTCAGAAACGTTGAAGAGTTCATGTGCATCAGTTAGTTCCTGCCATGTAACAAACCACACCAAAATTTAGTAGCTTAAAGCAAAATCATTTATGTATGTCATAATTCTATGAGTTACAAATTGAGGCTGGGCTCAGCTGAGAGGTTCTTCTCTTCACTTTTGGGCTCATGCATGTGAGGATTAATGGGAGCTGGCAGGTCTAGGGTGGACTCCACTGGAATAGTCTGTCTCTGTTCCAAAAGGTTAGCTGAAGCTTGTTTTCCTGGCAACAGAGCAGAGTTCTGAGAGAGCGTGAGTATGCAAGGCCTCTTGAGGCCCAAGCCTAGGTTCAGAACAGGAATCACTTCTGATATACTCTATTGGCCAAAGTTAGTCCCAAGTCCAGATCCAGGCTTGCTCAAAACAGTGGCCCATCTCTCTGGCCCCAATCTCCATAGTTCTGGTAAACAAAAAAAAAAGAAAAAGAAAAAGAAAAAGAAAGAAAGGAAGGAAGGAAGGAAGGAAGGAAGGAAGGAAGGAAGGAAGGAAGGAAGGCTGAGATAACATTGGGTTTTTCCAATGATAAAACCTAGAATTAATGAAGAGCTAAAATTAGTAAATTTTCAAAAATACAAAACACATAAAATGTAAAACTGCTGAAAAGATAAGAAGAAATGAATAAATCTATAATTAAGACGGAAATCTTTAATAGGCCATAGGCCTCAGGAGTCCTCAAAGTAAACAAAAAATGCACAAGCATGCTTATCTTAAAGGATTAAATAGGTATTTTTAAAATATTGATTTAATACACATGTAGAACTATTAAGTAACAAAATAGATACATACAATTTTAAAGCATAGCTAAAAAATGGCTAAAAATTGATTATTATAATACATGTGTATTTCAAATATTCCAAAAGAAGTCAGTCCACTCATATAAACTAACCACAATATAACAACATTAGAACTTCCAAAAAAGGTATGTGTATATGAGGTGGGGTTTTTTCAACCTTCTAAATAATTGTGGGTTAAAAAAACATAAAAACTACAAGATTTTGGAAATGAATCAAAATGAGAGTTCTACATATAAAATCTTCATGAAAATGGTTAAAGTGGAAATTAGATGAAAGATTTAAAGGCATTTACTAGAAAACAAGAAATTTTACATTTTTAAATTAAAAGCTAATTAAACTCAAAGTTAAATTTAGTTAATTAAACTCAAAAAGCTAACAGACCTGAACTTGCTCAGCAGCCTTACCTAAGAATCATCTATTTTACCGATCTTTTCAAAGAAATGTTTTGTTTTTATTGATCAATGCCTCCATATTTTTGAAATTTTTATAGTTTTCATTTATTATATTGACAAATTTTTTTAAATTATTAATGTGGCGCTGGCAATACACTTGTGAAGCATTTAGTTATTTATCCTTAAAATATATTAGTACTTGGCGGAGTGCAGTGGCTCACGCCTGTAATCCCAGCACTTTGGGAGGCTGAGGTGGGCAGGTCACAAGGTCAAGAGATGGAGACCATCCTGGCCAACATGGCGAAACCCCGCCTCTACTAAAAATACAAAAAATAGCTGGGCGTGGTAGTACACACCTATAATCCCAGCTACTCAGGAGGCTGAAGCAGGAGAATCACTTGAACCTGGGAGGCGGAGGTTGTAGTGAGCCAAGATTGGGCCACTGCACTCCAGCCTGGATGACAGAGCAAGACCCTGTCTCAAAAAAAAAAAAAAATTAATCCATGTGCACAAAGAGGCATAATCAGAAATAATCATTTCCAATTTTGGCTGGGCGCAGTGGCTCATGCCTGTAATCCCAGCAATTTGGGAGGCTGAGGCGGGTGAATCACCTGAGGTCAGGAGTTCGAGACCAGCCTGGCCAACATGGTGAAACCCCGTCTCTACTTAAAATACCAAAACTAGCCTGGAGTGGTGGTAGGCACCTGTAATCCCAGCTACTCGGGGGGCTAAGGCAGGAGAATTGCTTGAACCTGGGAGGTGGAGGTTGCAGTGAGCCGAGATGGTGCTATCACACTCCAGCCTGGGGAACAAGAGTGAGATGTCATCTCAAAAAAAAAAAAATCATTTTTATTTTGTTTTTAAAAAGAAAAAATGGGCCGGGCGCGGTGGCTCATGCCTGTAATCCCAGCACTTTGGGAGGCCAAGGCGGGTGGATTACCTGAGGTCAGGAGTTCAAGACCAGCCTGGCCAACATGGTGAAACCACGCCTCTACTAAAAATACAAAAATTAGCCAGAAGTAGTGGCACGTGTCTGTAATCCCAGCTACTCAGGAGGCTGAAGCAGGAGAATCGCTTGAACCTGGGAAGCAGAGTTTCCAGTGAGCCGAGATTATGCCATTGCACTCCAGCCTGGGTGACAGAGCAAGACTCCATCTCATAAAAAAAAAAAAAGGAAAAATTGGAAAAATAAAGTACATGCAGTTTATTTGACAGAGGGATGTTTAACTGAACCACACTACATCCATATATATGAAGTTATGCAGCAATAGAAAAGAATAATGGACATTTATATTTTTAGATATAAAAAGAGCTGTTGAACCTATCATTGAAATTTTAAAAGGAAGCTGAAGAACAAGTACAGTGTAATAAATTATTTGTTTTTTACAATTTAATTATAGAGTAAATGTGATCTTTCTTGGTATATAGTTCTATAGATTTTAATAAATATTTGGATTCATGTAACCACCACCACAAATAGGACACACAACAGTTTCATCACCCTAAGAAAAGTTCCCGGATGCTCACCCCTCTGTAGCCAAACCGTCACCCCACCCATAATCCCTGGCAACCACTGATCTATTTTCCATCACTATAATTTTGCCTTTTCCAAGAATGTGACATAAATGGAATCATGTAGTATTTAACGTTTTGAGACCAGCTTCTCTCAGCATGTGATATGGTATGTACCTGTGTCTCCACCTAAATCTCACGTTGAATTGTAATCCCCGATGTTGGAGGTAGAGCCTAGTGAGAGGCGATTGGATCATGGGGACAGATTTCTCATGAATGGTTCGGTATCATCCCCTTGGTACTGTCCTAAGGATAGTGAGTGAGTTCTGCAGAGACCTGGTTTAAGCGTGGAGCACCTCCCCACTCTCTTGCTCCTGCTCTGGCTATGCCATGTGCCTGCTCACCCTTAACCTTCCACCATGATTGTAAGTTTCCCGAAGCCTCCCCGGAAGCCAAGCAGATGCCAGCATCATGCTTCCTATATAGCCTGCTGAACAGTGAGACAACTAAACCTCTTTTTTTTTTAGCAAATGACCCAGTCCCAGGTATATCTCTATAACAATGTGAGAACGACCTAGTAACAGCATGTCTTTGAGATTCATCCAAGTTTCTACCAGTATCAATAACTCATTCCTTTTTACTGCTGAGTATGATTGTATTCTATGGATGTGGTACATCTGTTTATCCATTCATTCATTGAAGGGCATTTGGGTTGTTTTCAGCTTTTGGCTATCACAAATAAAGTTTCTAAGATGGCCAGGCATGATGGCTCACGTCTCTAACCCCAACACTTTGGGAGGCTGAGATGGGCGTTGAGGTCAAGAGTTTGGGACCAGCCTGGCCAACATGGTGAAACCCTGTCTCTACTAAAAATACAAAAATTAGCTAGGTGTGGTGGCACACACCTGTAATCCCAGCTACTCAGGAGGCTGAGGCAGGAGAATCACTTGAACCTGGGAGGTGGAGGTTGCAGTGAGCCAAGATTACACCACTGCACTCCAGCCTAGGCAATAGAGAGAGACTCTGTCTCAAAAACAAATAAATAAATAAATAAAGTTGATATGAGCAGTTTTTACAGATGTTTGTGTGACCGTAAGTTTTCGTTTCACTAGGGTAAATACCAGGTTCAGGATTGCTAGGTCCTGAGGTACGTGTATGTTTACCTTTCAAATAAACTGACAAACCATTTTCTAGAGTGACTGCAATTTCCAGTTGTTCTGCAACCTCACCAGCAATTGGTGTTGTCAGAAACTTTTTATTTTCATAATTCTTATCAATGTGCACAATTGTTTTTAAAATTCACAGAATTAAAGGAAAATATATTGTGCACTATTTGTGTAATTAAAGCAAAACACAAACACATAAACGGAAGACAAAAATAAGAAACTAATTCAAGAAACTAAAGAAAGAAAAACAAAATTAACTTTTTAAAATTAGAATAAAGGCATATATATGTAATAGGGATAGTTTGAAACACTCCCAAACATCTGCTCTGAGCCAACAACAATCGGATAGCGTGAGGGCAGATACAAATTAAATATGAGACTTAACTCTCCCCGTTAAAAATAAGGAAAGAGACTTACCCAACACCCCTCCCCCCCGCCCTTCTCTTTCTCTGTCTCTTTGAAATGTATGTAAATCTTTTTAAAATGTAAATAGGCCTCTAGCCAGTTTTACAACCCAGGAATATCTTTGTCAAATACCTAGGAGCCATCTCTTTGAAATGTAAGCATCCAGAAAGGTAGTGCTCCTATCTCTGAATTTATATGAGTGGGTAGGTCTCTAACTTTGGCAAGTTCCTTGCTTCAAGTTGCAAAGCCACTTCCTGTCACAAGGATGTGAGAATTTTGTTTTTCCTTTGGTTAAAGCCAACCAGCGAACACAGATGGCCACTCCAATTATCAGGTGAATCTAGGATGAACTATGTGTATGTCAAATGGTACTTCTAAGTTCTCCTATTTGAGAACCAGTTATTGTTTGTCTTGAGAGCATATCTGTAATGGGTTTTATCTTCTTCAGGATATAAACAAGTAGGATTTCTTTCTGTCTTTGCAAACTCTTTGTGAATTGCCTGTGATGTGTCTCACATTCTGGTTCAATGCTTATTCAATGGCAATTGTTTTCTTTCTCTTCTACCTTTGTGGAGAGGTTTTCTAGGTTGAGAGAAGATTTTGTTTTTAATTATATTTCCCCCACAATAGCAAACACATCCCCAACCACATACACACACACACACACACACACACACACACACACACACAACAGGTAATTAGACAGGCCTGAGCAGGGCAGGAGAGGGCTCTTCCCCCACCCACTACGAATGTCAGTGATGGTTCCAAAATTATCACATTGCCTCTCTAAAAGTGATAAATTGGGCAGCGCAGTGGCTCATGCCTGTAATCCCAGCACTTTGGGAGGCTGAGGTGGACAGATCACTTGAGGTCTGGAGTTCAAAACCAGCCTGGCCAACATGGTGAAACCCCATCTCTACTAAAAATACAAAAAATAGCTGAGCATGGTAGTGGACACCTGTAATCCCAGCTACTCAGGAGGCTGAGGCAGGAGAATCGCTTGAACCCAGAAGGTTCAGGTTTCAGCGAGCCAACATTGCCCCACTGCACTCCAGCCTGGGCAACAGAGTGAGACTCCATCTCAAAATAAATAAATAAATAAAATAAGTGAGAACATATGGTACTTATCTTTCTGTGTCTGACTTGCTTCACTTAAGATAATGGCCTCCAGTTATATCCATGTTGCTGCAAAAGACATGATTTTTGTGGAGGGATTGTATTCCATTGTATATATAGACCATAATTTCTTTATCCAATCATCTGTTGATGGACACTCAGTTGATTCCATACCTTTGCCATCATGAATCATGTTGTAATAAACATACAAGTGCAGGTATCTTTTGATGTGATTATTTCTTTTCCTTTGGGTAGATACCTAGTAGTGGGATTGCTGGATCAAAATGGCAGGTGCCTGTAATCCCAGCTACTCCAGAGACTGAGGCAGGGGAATCGCTTGAAACTGGGAGGTGGAGGTTTCAGTGAGCCAAGATCATCCCACTGCACTCCAGCCTGGGTGACAGAGCAAGACTCTGTCTCAAGAAAAAAAAAAAAATGCTGTGTGATTACCCTTATATGGGTTTCCTGGATGAGCCATTTGTTAAATTAATTTTTGTTGGAAATTTCCCCGCAGAGCTGTTGCACATTGTGGGGGGTTAATCCCCAGACACTCCCATGAGGCCCCAGTCACCCAGGGGTGCCTTTGGCTGGGAGGAGCAAGTGCCCTTTCTCCTAGGAGCTGAAAAACTCAGTCTCTTATTTATCTATGAAAACAACAGTTCAGTTTCTCACATAAATGTGTACAGATAAACCGAATTTAGACAGATTTTAGGAGAAAAAGCAATTGAGAATTCCTTTTAGAATGCATCTCCCAACTAGAATTAGGATCCTTAAACAACCACTTCTTAGGAGAAAACCAGCTCAGAATAAATCAAGGACCATCAACCAAAGGGAGGTCTGGGGCTCAGGAGGACTTACCAGTTCCACCAGAGGAGAAGCTCGAAGCTTCAATGGGCCCCTGCTGGCACCTTAGCTCTGGTTTTGGGCAACTCCTTTAGGGTCCTGAGTCTTCCCTGAGGCCTCACGTGTTTGGGCACCAAATTATTGTTGACGAAAAGAGCCAAACTCTGTAAAATATTTTAAGAGATTTATTCTGAGCCAAATATGAGTGACCATGGCCCGTGACACAGCCCTCAGGAAGTCCTGAGAACATGTGCCCAAGGTGGTCGGGGTGCAGCTTGGTTTTGTGTATTTTAGGAAGGCATGAAACATCAATCAAATACATTTAAGAAACACACTGGTTACTTGGAAGTCCCCGCGGGGCTGGGGGCGGGTATCAATGGAAAGGAATGTTCAGGTTAACATAAAGGATTGTGGAGACCAAGTTTTATTGTGAAAAGAAATCTCTCAGATAGCAGACTTCAGAGAGAGAGCAGATTGTAAAATGTTTCTTATCAGACCTAAAAGGGTGCCTGGCTCTTAGTTGATTATCTCCTGGATCTGGAAAGGAAGGGGAAAAAGGGGGTGGGTGGGTGTGGGGGTATAGAATGTGGATCTTTTTCCACCAAAGATTTTGTAAGGCAATTTCAAAGTATGGCAAGGCAATATATTTTGTGATAAAACATTGTGATTTTTTTTTTTTTTTTGTGAGACAGAGTCTCACTAGGTCCCCCAGGCTGGAGTGCAGTGGCGCCATCTCAGCTCACTGCAACCTTCGCCTCCCGGGTTCACGCCATTCTTCTGCCTCAGCCTCCCGAGTAGCTGGGACTACAGGCGCCCGCCACCACGCCCGGCTAACTTTTTGTATTTTTACTAGAGACAGGGTTTTACTGTGTTAGCCAGGATGGTCTCGATCTCCTGACCTCATGGTCCGCCCGCCTCAGCCTCCCAAAGTGCTGGGATTACAGGCGTGAGCCACTGCACCTGGCCAAAACATTGTGATTTTCTTCCTTGTTATGCCAGAGTCAGATTGAAAAGTAAGTCACAATATACAGGGTCAAATAAAACCCATCTTGTAAGAATTTATGGTTTGTAGGGCATAACTCCCTAGACCCCTTAGGTAGGAATTTGGGCAAGATAAAAAATCAGAGTTTAGTCCTCAATTCCTTAAGATAAATCTCTTTCTCTATATATATCTCTCTCTATCTCATATCTCCATCCTATTCTCTGGAAAACTCTGACTAATGCAAGAAATTAAAGAGACAAAACACATAATACAATATCTTAAACAACAAAATACTATTCAGCCATAAAAAAGAATGAAATCCTGTCATTCATGGCAACATGGATGAGCTAGAGCAGTGGTCCCCAACCTTTTTGGCACCAGGCACTGGTATAGTGGAAGACAATTTTTCCATGGTCGGAAGGGGGTGGGAGGATGGTTTTGGGAAGAAACTGTTCCATCTCAGACCATCAGGCAGTAGTTAGATTCTCATAAGGAGTGTGCAACCTGGATCCCTTGCATGCGCAGTTCATAATAGGGTTTGTGCTTCCATGAGAATCTAATGCTTCTGCACATCTGACAGGAGATGGAGCTCCGGGGTAATGCTCACCTGCCACTCACCTCTTGCTGTGCTCCCAGTTCCTAACAGGCCATGGTCCCCATACCAATCTATAGCCCAGGGGTTGGGGACCCCTGGCCTAGAGGACATTATGTTAAGTGAAATAAGTCAGGCACAGAAACATAAATGCTGCACATTCTCACTTATATGTGGGAACTAAAAAAGTTGAGCTTACAGGCCCGGCTCGGTGGCTCACACCTGTAATCCCAACATTTTGAGAGGCCAAGGCGGGTGGATCACCTGAGGCCAGGAGTTTGAGACCAGCCTGGCCAACATGGTGAAATCCCATCTCTACTAAAAATACAAAAATTAGCCGGGTGTGGTGGCGGGTGCCTGTAATCCCAGCTGCTCAGGAGGCTGAGGCAGGAGAATCGCTTGAACCTGGGAGACAGAGTTGCAGTGCACCAAGATTGCACCACTGCACTCCAGCCTGGGAGACAGGGTGAGACTCCATCTCAAAAAAAAAAAAAAAAGTTGAGCTTTCAGAAGTAGAGAGTAAAATAATGTAGCAGGTAGAAGAGGATACGGAGAGGTTGGTTTTAACAAATACAAAATCACAGCTAGATAGGAGGAATAAGTTCTAGGGTTCCATAGCTCTGTAGGGTGACTGTAGCCAACAATCACTTATTGCATATTTTCAAATAGCTAGAAGAGAGGATTTTGAATGTTCTCGCACAAAGAAATGAGAAATGTTTGAGGTACCCTGATTTGATCATTACACATTGTGTACACGTATTGAAATATCACTCTGTATCCCATAAATATGTATAATTATTATGTCAATTAAAAATAAAATTTTAATTTAAAAATACATTTTAAAAATCAATACAATATCTGACCTGACACTGCAATCTCAACTCAAGGAGGAAATGAATGCTGTAAAAGGCATTATTAGGTCAATTGGCAAATTGGAATACAGATATATATATATATATATATATATATATGGATAGATGATAGACTAGATAAAAGTGGTGTCCATTTAAATTTATGGAGTTAGTAACTATACTGTCATACAGGAGAATATCCCTATTCTTAGGAAATACACACTGAATTATTTGGGAGTAAAAGGCCACGATAATATAAGGCCATGAACATATAACTTATGCTCAATAGATTCAAAGAAGAAAATATACAAATATAGAGAGACTAATATAGATATATATATATCCATAGATAGAGAGAGGTGGGGCAAATGCTAAAGCAAGAAAGATAAAATGTCAACAATAGGCAAATCTCAGGGGAGCTGGGGAAAAGGTATCGTACAATTTGTATTTTGCAGCCGGTATGTTTTAAATTATTTTTAAATGAAAAGATTTTTTAATGGGTTGAGGAAATTGGAGTGACTTATATTTATGACATCCAATGGACTGTGCATGCTGTATGGAAACAAGGAGAAAATAAATGTCATCATTGCTTAACAAGTGAAGGGTAAAAAGACAATTAACTCACTGAAGACTACGCACAGAAACACAAAAGCCTTTGCTTCTGTGGTTATAGGTTTACCAAAGGCACAAAGGGATTTGTATTTATTTTAGGATTATAATTTACATCACTTAGTTGGAAAAATTACAGATTTTAAGATATTTTTACAAATCTGAGTGACTGTAAAGACTGCTAAAGTCTTGGGACATATTCTTACCAAGTCCCAGATCTTTTGTTTTGTTTTGTTTTGTGCCTGAAATCAAACCAGGTTTTTTAGACCAGGAAAACGTGAGAAGCTAGAGCTGCTCTACTCAGTTGGCCCAAACCAGGACTCCGGAGATTATTCCCTTATACAGCAGGCACCACATTAGAGAAAGGATTCTGGAAAAGTGAGCTGGAACAGAAAAGAACTGTCTCAATGGGAAACAGACTCCAAAGGACGCTATTGGGGGGAGGAAAACACAAAATATTTCTTGAGAAGAATGTGGAAATGGCAAAGTCTCTAGCCTCCAGAAACCTTAAACTCTAGGGAAAGAAAGCAAAAATTTAGAGGTAAGAGTGTTCATATTAAAATTCAAACAATAAGTAGTTTTTCTATAAACTCTCTTTTTTTCTAATCATGAAAGTACACATAATCATTCTCTCCAAACTCAGACATTTTAGACAGATAGATAGATAGATGACAGATAGATAGATAGATAGATAGATAGATAGATAGATAGATAGATACACATGCATACATACTACATACATATATACCTACATATGTTGGCACATAGATGTTCCTTTACCACAGATTAAGTTATTCTAGATGCATATCTTGTAGCCTACATTTTTATACATTTTCATCATTTTAATAACTGCATACTGCTCTATTATATTCTGTATTTTCTATATTAGATTAGATCCATGTTTTATCACCATTTAGGTAGCTTTTGGTTTTCTGTTACTGTAATGTTGAGATAAACGTCTTTATGTACTTGTTCAATTATTCCCATTAAACAAAAGCCCAAGGTACAAAGTTTCTGAGTAAAAAAATAGGCACATTTTAAGGCTTCTGATATATATTGCCAAATTGTGCTACAAAAGAAAAACTGTACCAATTAACACTCCCAGCAACAACGCCAAGAGAATGCTAGTTTCCCCACATCTCACCAACACTGTCTAGAACGCATAGTTTTAGAGATGAACGCTGGGAACCGACGCACTGTTTGCTCTACCTCTCCCCCTCCTAACAGTCTAGAACACAGGCGCTCAATAAATCAATCCAGGCTCCAGTCCAGTAGACATTCTGATCTAATCTGACTGCTCTGGGTAACAGAAAAGTCTCCCTTGGTTCACTGCCCAGTATCCTGGCATCATGTGGATCCTATAAAGGCAGTAGCTCCAAGCACATTACAGAGGGACCCAACTCCATTAAACCACCACCAGCTCCCCAAGCCACCCCTTCAGCCATGAAGTTCCTGCTCCTGGTCTTGGCAGCCCTCGGATTCCTGACCCAGGTGATCCCAGGTAAACTGGATAAATAGGAGGAAAGGAAAACTGGGAACGAGGAACACTAGCATATCTGGTTGCTCTGGTGATAGATGAGCCAGGTTGGGTGGAGGCAGGGCTCACCCCACTGAGTTCCAGTCTAAGGTAGAGATCTCCTAACAACCACCACTAGCCTTGATATCCCACACCCAAACACCACCCTATATAACCTTTACAAAAATTTGTTTTCTATTCTAAAATGATAGTCACCCTCAACCTAAACCAAAATATCTTCTTTCACTTTATGTGAGCTCCTTATATCTAACCTCCTAAGACACACTGAAGGCTTCTGTCATCACCATGTGCATCCATTGAGATCAGCCCGGGTTGGAGCTCAAAGGAGATTTTGAGCCTAGAAGGAAGAGATTGAGGTTCCCATCCCTATGCTCAACAGACAGCTGGCAGGTGGGGGATGGAAGCAGACCTCTTAGAGGGCTAGTTCCCACAGGATGGTAAGCAATGGGTTCAGCTCAAACCCTGGGGCTAGGAGATAATGCAGGGTCAGAAAGAGAGAGAGACAGACACACAGAGAGCAGGGAGAGAGAGAGATCAGAGGAGGGCCAGGCAACGGATGTGAAGAAAGCCAAAGAGGCTTGAGGGTGCTCCGAAGAGGCCCCTGCTGTGAGCCAATGGCAGACACAGAGCACTGAGGCAAACAGATTTCAGCAGATGGTGAAATGGTGCACAGCACTGGGTGAATGCAAAAATGCCCTGTCACTGGCAACCGTTATTTTCTTTTTAATGATTTTGGAGAAAGATTTGACTCCTCCCACTTTGCCCCAGGTTGACTCATATTTACAGTTTTAGAGTCTATGAAAACAAGTAAGGTAGAAACACCTTAAAAGGGAGCCTGTGGGGTGAGTGAGACTAGCCCCATTTCTCCCTTTTGAGTATCCAAGCTCCTCCCTGACCGTGAAGACCAGGCTCCCCACCCCTGTTTTTACCCATACATCCTATTCTGTAGTATCAAATTTAGCAAAAAGCTTCAAAGATGCAGATACTGGCAAAGAAGAAGAGCTCGTCAGACAGAGTTCCCCAAGGCCATCAATCCAGGAAGATTTTTGTCTCCTCATCACTGGCTTTCCCAAGTCTCATTTGCACAACATCCTAAGGATACACCTCAGAACAAAAAGCCAAACACTCCCATCTGGCGCTGACGCTTTAGTAGCCCTGTGCTGCTTCTAACCATGACTTCTCTGTCTTGTCCTCTCCCATACAGCCAGTGCAGGTGGGTCAAAATGTGTGAGTAACACCCCAGGATACTGCAGGACATGTTGCCACTGGGGGGAGACAGCATTGTTCATGTGCAACGCTTCCAGAAAATGCTGCATCAGCTACTCCTTCCTGCCGAAGCCTGACCTACCACAGCTCATCGGTAACCACTGGCAATCAAGGAGAAGAAACACACAAAGGAAAGACAAGAAGCAACAAACGACCGTAACATCATAATAACCACTGCTATCGCCTCCACCAACTCAGAGAAATATCATTTCCACAGTTCCAATTCCTCCTACATTGCTGAGTACTAGCCAAGGCTCCTCTTTATGGGGCAGATATCTATAGCCAACCCCAAAACTTCTGTCTTCTATCATTCTGTCATTCATCTAGTAACTAATTTGGAGTTTGTATCTATCTTACGAGAACAATCATCATGCAGATTCGTCCACAGGGGATCTGTCAGTTTGGGTCCTCCAAATGAAAAATGTCAAGACAGAATTGGACATGCAAAAGATTGACTGGGAGAACACACCTCTGATGGACAAAGGTGAGACAGAGCAGCCACAGGCAGGGAGAGCCTTCAGACTGCAACGCTGGCCTGATACGTGTCAAAGGAGAGAGGGATAGAGGAGGATTGAATAGAAGGAGACTAAGACTGCAGCTCTAAGAAAGTCTCAGCCAAACAGATGGGGAGGCCCAAAGCAAGGCTTGCCCCTCAGAGGAGCTCACGCAGGGCAGGAATAGCCAGGTTCTCATATCCCAGGGGTTCAGACTTTGGCTGAGAACAGCCCCTGGAGAACATGGGGTGACTGCTACCATAGGTCTGGAAGTATGAGGCTGTCCACCAACTATCCCCTTGAAGCAAGTTCTCTTGAAAGGAAATCTAAACAGTGCACCCCCATGGCTGCCACGGAGTATAAGGAGGGAGAGAAAGGAGCTGAAAGTCTAGGTTTGGCCAGCTAGGTAGACTGACTTGTGAGGTATTTATTTATTCATTTGAGTAACAAAGCAGACAGAATACATAGCCACCATTGGTAGTACACCCCAAAAGCAAGGATGGCATGATGCTGGTGACTCAAACGTGCCTACTCATGGTGTCAAATTGGCATAATCCTCTTGGGAAGCTGTGTGGAAATAAGCACAGAGAAGCAGAACTCTAATTGCTTAATCCACTAAACATTACTTCTGGGAATTGGCTCATCATAAATTATCCAAGAGAAGCACAAAGTTATGGGCACAAAGGTTTTCCATATAATATTATTTAAAATGCTGAGAAAATGAAAAAATCTAAATGGTGAAATATATACTAATGCCATCTATAAATACAAACAAATAGAATGTTTATAGAATAATGGAACATAATAACATTATTCAAAATTGCATTTATGCTATAGTTGTCAAAATTGTCTCCTTATATGATACAAAACTCATGAAAATTATGACTTTTTTGTTTGGTTGGAAAGCAGAATTATGCATAAATTTCCTCTTACAGTTCGATGCCCATTAGTTTTATATAACATTTATTTGACACGTACTGACTTCTATCTGAGAAGAACAAACCAAAACACTCAGGCCTAAATAATTAAAAACGGTCCTAAAAACTAGCAAACCAGATAAGAAAAGATGTTAATGCCCATTCCCTAACTTATGTCTTAGACCAAAATTAATTCTAGATGGTTTTAAAATGACAGTGTAAAAGTAAAGTATTAAAAGATTGTGTGGTCAAATATTCAATTTAAGAGCAAGGAAATTCTTATAAATATAACAATAGAGGCAGAACTCATGTAAGAATAAATTGATTAGGTGGTATTAAATATTAAGTTCTTATGTATGTCAAAAGATATCATTTTGAAATTCATCCATCTTATTGGGTATTGCAGGAGTTCATTCCTTTTTGTTTATAAATACTCTTCCGTCATATGAATAGTATTCATTTGTATACTGGTTTGTTGATGGACATTTGGGTTGTTCCCAGTTTATGGCTATTACAAATAAAGCTTCTATGAACATTTATGTACAAATCTTTGTATGGATGTATGCTTTCATTTCCCTAAGGTAAATACCTAGGAGTAGAACGTCTGAATCATATGGTAGGTGAATGTTTAGCTTTTTTGTTTGTTTGTTTGTTTGTTTGTTTGTTTGTTTGTTTTTTGAGATAGAGTTTCGCTCTTGTTGCCCGGGCTGGAGTGCAATGGTGCGATCTCAGCTCACTGCAACCTCCGCCTCCTGGGTTCAAGCAATTGTCCTTCCTCGGCCTCCTGAGTAGCTGGGATTACAGGCACGCACCACCCCCCGACCCCGGCTAATTTTTGTATTTTTAGTAGAGACGGGGTTTCTCCATGTTGGTCAGGCTGGCCTCGAACTCCTGACCTCAGGTGATCCGCCCGCCTTGGCCTCCCAAAATGCTGAGATTACAGGCATGAGAATGTTTAGCTTTTAAAGGAAATACAAAATTGTTTTCCAAAATGGTTGTGCCAGTGGATGTGCCCATCAGCAGGATGTGAAAGTTCCAGCCGTTCCTCATCCTCACCAGCATGTGATATGGTCAGTCTTTTGCATTTTCATCATTCTAATAGATGTGTAGTGGTATTTCATTATGCTTTCAATTTGCATTTTTTTAATAACTAGTTATCAAAAAAGTATATTCTGTATGATTCTATTTACATAAAGTTCTTTAAATTCTTTTAAAATTGCATACAATTATTTAAAATAGAAAGTAAGAATCTAACGACAGAAAGCAGATCACTGGTTGTCAGGGGATGTGAAAGGTGCATGGAGAGGGCTGAAAGAATGTAAAGGGACCTGAGGACACTTTGAGGGGTGATCAGTCAAGACACATTCATAGGCCGGGCGCGGTGGCTCATGCCTGTAATCCCAGCACTTTGGGAGGCCGAGGCAGGTGGATCACGAGGTCAGGAGATCAAGACCATCCTGGCTAACACGGTGAAACCCCGTCTCTACTAAATATGCAAAAAATTAGCCGGGTGTGGTGGTGGGCGCCTGTATTCCTAGCTACTCGGGAGGCTGAGGCAGGAGAATGGCGTGAACCCAGGAGGTGGAGCTTGCAGTGAGCCAAGATCGCGCCACTGCACTCCAGCCTGGGCGACAGGGCGAGACTGTCTCAAAAAAAAAAAAAAAAAAAGATACATTCATAATCTTGATTGAGGTAATGGCTTAATGGGGGTGTACATAAGTCAAAAAATTACAAAATGGTAAACTTTAAATGTGTTCAGTTTATTGTATGTCAATTTAAACTTCCAAAAAAGCTATTATTTTAATAAAATAAATAAATCTCACAGTGAAACAGAAATATTAAAGTATCATAAATAGTTTAAAGACGTATGACAAACTGAGACATGTGATGAAGTATCGATACCAATAAAATATAACAAGTTAACATGAAGCAACAGGGAAAACATGAAACCCCTAGCAGAAAATGAAAAAGTAACATGAACTAGCTTTTTAACTCTATAAACGGCCTGAAAAATGGGAAAAAATCTGTGTGACTGTGATCAAATAAATGCAGATTAAAACTACAATGAGATCTTGTTTTTTACCTATCGGATTGTCAGAGAATTAACAAACCCAAGTCTGACAAGGCATAAATAGAAATAAGTCTCATCATCAGATGCTCCGGTTTATAACTAAATATGTCCATTCTGGAAGACATTTATCTATACAGCTTTCAAAACCCTTAAAAATGTTCATGTTCTGTGGCTCAGAGACTCTACTTTTAGGGATATATTCTGGGGAAATAATTAGAGTTCATATCAAAAAGATTAATGTATATACAGCACAATCATAGCAGCATAGTTTAAAGTAGTGAAGAGGCAGTGGGGTAAGATGGCTGAACAGAAGCCTCCACTGATCATCCTCCCCACTAGAACACCAAATTTGACAACTATCTACACAAAAAAGCACCTTCATAAGAATAAAAAATGAGGTGAGTGATCACAGTACCTAGCTTTAACTTCATATCACCTAAAGAGGCACTGAGAAGGTAGGAAAGACAGTCCTGAATTGCTGACACCGCCTCTCCCCAGTCCTCAGGCAGCAGCTGTGTGGTGTGCAGAGACAATATGTGTACTTGCAGGAGGGAGAGCACAGTGATTGTGGGATTTCACATTGGAACTCAGTGCTGCTAGCACCAGGCAGAACCCAGCAGGTGCCTAAAAGGGATCATTTAGACCATCCCTAGCCAGGGGGACATCACCCATCCCAGAGGTCGGAACTCCAGTTTCCGCAAGCCTCACCACCGTGGGCTAAAGAGCTCTGGGGTCCTAAATAAACTTGAAAGGCCGTATAGGCCACAAGAACTGCAATTCCTAGGCAACTGCTAGTGCTGTGCTGGGCTCAGAGGCAGTAGATTTAGGGACCACTCAACCTAGTGAGACACCAGCTGGGGTGTGTGTGTGTGTGTGTGTGTGTGCGTGTGTGTGTGTGTGTGTGATTCTCGTGCCTCAGCCTCCCAAGTAGCTGGTGATGGCAGTGGCAGCCCATCTGGAGTGGACGCTGCCATCAAGCCAGCTGCAGCAGGGAGGGACAGCTGGGGCTGCACATTCCACAGAGCTGCAGAGCTGGGGACAATGAGAGCCCCACACCTTCCAAGCTGGTGCAGCAGGAGCTCCCCAGGTGCAACTGCAGCCACTCAAGTCACGGCTGTGAACCCCGGCCTCCCTGTGTTCTTGTGGGTGCTGGGAGCAGGCAGGGGTCCTGCACTTTTGGGTGCAGCTGCAGGCGCCCAAACCATGGCTGCGGAACCAGACATCTCTACACTCTTGAGGGTCAGGGAAGTCCCCACTGCCCTCACAAGCTTAGAAGTGCCTGCTCCCACAGCCTGGCGCCTCCCTGCTGTCGGTGCCCGCTCTAATCTTGGAGCAAAGTTGAGGCCAAGCCCAGGTGCTGTCATAGCCTGTTGGGTGTGCACACGCTTGGGGCAGTGCTGACATACCAGCCCCCTGCCGCCTCGGACCCCTACAGACCTCGGGTGCTGACGAGCATAGGAGGAAAGCCGAGGTGGGGCTGAGGGCAGCTCGGCACCTACAGCCTGGGTGCCATGAATGGCAGTAGGAGTCTTCTCAGTTCTGTCTCCCTCCCTTCAGTGTGGATGAAGGGGTAGAAATGAGGTACAGCATCCTGTCTTTCCCAGGGGTCGTGTTGCATCCTTTAATAGTTTACCACTGACAGCACTACCAACGATTTGGGGATTGTGTCTCGAGGAAGCAATTGACCTAAATTTCATGTATCAATGAAACTGTTTTTCCTTATGGTTTTAATTATTTATTTATTTTATAAAATAAAATAAATAGGCTTTTAATATATAATGAAAGCCTTTTAATGTTAACATGCAAGGACTGAAAGAATACCTGTTGGACTGCAAGATGGCTGCTCCCTCTACCCTCAGCTTCAACTGGCCTGTCAGCCAAGCTTTGATTTCCTAGGCAGAATATAAAAGAATTCCTCTCTGTGGTGGTCCAGGAGACCAAGGGAATTTGGGGAGGTGATAGAACTGCACCCTGATCATGCTGGTGGTGAAAACTCGTGCAACCGTACACCCAAATGTCATCTTTTTTACTGTATGTTAATTTTAGAAATCAGAAAGTAAAAGATGCAATCACAAAAATATCATTTGGTAGGACAAACTTATTCAGTATATGAAGATAATAGAGAACTTTTATACAAAAGTGGCTCTTACAAAATATTAATATAAAATATTAAAATATAAATTCTCAAGAGCTATAACTTAAACTTCTATGTTAATTTAGGTAAGCAATTCTCCTATGAAAAGACTTAACGAATTCTTTCCTTTTCTTTTCCTCTTGTCTTTTCATTTTGCTGCAAGGAGCAGCCTTAAAGCTGACTGAAACAGTTATTGTGACCAGCATGTAATGCTTGAAAAGATGAAAATCCAGCTTTAAATATGCTCAATCTCAATAACTTTTTTGGTTTTTTTTTTTTTTTTTTTTTTTGAGACGGAGTCTTGCCTTGTCACCCAGGCTGGAGTGCAATGGCACGATCTCGGTTCACTGCAACTTTCGACTCCCAGATTCAAATGATTCTCCTGCCTCAGCCTCTTGAGTAGCTGGGATTACAGGCACCGGCCACCATGCCCAGCTATTGTTTGTATTTTTAGTAGAGATGGGGTTTCACCATGTTGGCAAGGCTGGTCTCGAACTCCTGACCTCATTATCTGCCGCCTTGGCCTCCCAAAGTACTGGGATTACAGGTGTGAGCCACCGCGCCTGGCCTCAATAACTTTTTAATAGGTATATGCTTAGTTTATTCATGTTTCTTTGCTAGTTTTTTTTCCCTGCAAAGAAGAAGAAGAAAAATAATTTTAAATCTTATTTGAAGGATGATTGTACACTGTGTTATTGGCCTTGGAAAGGAGAGAAGGAGGAAAAGGAGTAGGAAAAGGGAAAATATCTTAAGAGGTTGTACTGTTAATCTACTTCCAGGCAGATTTTAACCACTAAAGCTAAAATGCTATTATGAAATTGAATATTTCAATTGAATATTGAAAATGGTATAATGATGCCGGGTACGGTGGCTCATGCCTGTAATGGTAGCACTTTGGGAGGCCAAGGTGGGTGCATCACTTGAGGTCAGGAGTTCGAGACTAGCCTGGCCAACATGGTGAAACTCTACCTCTACTAAAAATACCAAAAAAATAGCCGGAAATTGCTTGAACCTGAGAGGCAGAGGTTGCAATGAGCTGAGATCATGCCACTGCACTTCAGCCTGGGCAAGAGAGCAAGACTCCATCTTAAATAAATAAATAAATAAATGAAAATGGTATAGTGGCTTGAAGATGCAGGGGCCCATGAGGAAGAACATGGATGGCCCCTAGAAGCTGAAAGCAGCCCCCAGGTGGCAGCCAGCAAGGAAGTGGGGTCTTCAATTCTACACGTGCAAGGAACTGAATTCTATCAACAACCTGAATGAGCTTGGAAGCTGATTCTTCCCCAGAAGCCGCAGATAAGAGCTCAGCCTGCTAGGGGCTTGAGAAAGGGGAAAGTGACTTTAAAAATGTAACTCGAGGGAGTTCCAAAAGGCTAAGCGATTCGGTGAATCTAATAAACATGTTAAAATGCATAAAGTTCGGGTGTGGGGGAAAGGGAAGGGAGAGCATTAGGACAAATAGGTTCTTTTCTGAGTTCTGGCCAGGAGGCTTCTTGATCAGTTCAAATTGTTACAAAGTTCAGCTGGAGGTTTCCTTCTCCCTGTGGCCGCTCTGGGCCTCTGGCAGCCCTCCTCAAGGAGCAATCCGTTTCCTTCAGAGGGTCTGTGGGTTCTCCTGGCTTCCCTAATGCGTTCCTGCAGTCCTTCTGAAGCAAAACTTAATGATGCGAGCCTCCACACGCTGCTCTGACCGTCCGAGTGGGAGCTGCAATCTAGTCCTGCCTCCCGTCTGTCATGATCCCTGGTGGTTTTTGACTACAGCTCAATTGTTTTAGATTCCATGTGTAAGTGAGAACATGAAGTATTTGTCTTTCTGTGTTTGACTCATTTCACCTAGCAGAATGTGTAATAAACATTAACAAAATGAATGTGTAAAATCAGGTAGTGATCACAGCTACAAAGAAAATAAAACAGAGTGATAGATGGAAAGTGATGGGGAGGAAGAACCTGGTTAGAAATGGTGGTCAGGCAGGACCTCTCTAAGAAGGGAAAAGAGCTGTGACTGCACGATAAGCCGGCCACGTGAAGACCTTGAGGACAACATGCAAAGCTGATGACCCACCGGCCCTGCAAAGACCGGGCGGGAGATAAGCTTGGCTGGCGCGAAGAAAGAAGGCTGGAGGGAGTAGAAATGGGGACAGGAGCTGAACGCTGGGAGAGGGGGCTCAAAGCCAGCTCGCGTAGGCAGGGACTGGGCACTCGCAATGCGCGCAGAACAAAGGCCTCTCTCTCTCTTTCGCCACACTAAGGGCCAACATGGTCATCTCCAGGTGCGGATTCTGCCGTAAAATGCGCCCCTGGCGACTCACGACCAGGACGCATTCCGCACCGCTCCCCCACGCCCCGCAGCCCGCCCTCGAGGCTGATTGATTTGTGCCAGTCTCTACCGCCATCTGCCGGCAGCACTCGGTACACCCGCGCCCTGGAGGTCGCACGCGCTGGCCAAACGGGCGCACCAGACACTTTTCAGGGCCCTGCCAAAGACCTCCCAATGTCTACTGGCGTCCCAGACACAAGAGATCCAGGCCAAGACTCACACTTCACAAGATACACAGACACGGGCCTTAGGGAACAGGAAATTCCATGAAACTTCCATTTACCCAATTAGCCGGACTCACTGAGCCCCAGAATAGGGTTTTCAACCAACTCCTACTAAAATTAAAAAGTAATGTGTGGTATAGATTGGAATAATAGACATTGGAGGCTACAAACGATGGGAGGCGGAGAGGGGTGAGGGTTGAAAAATTACCTATTGGGTGCAACATTCACTATCCGGGTAATGGGGCACTAGAAGCCCACTCCACCACTATGCAATATATGTATTTGTACCCCGTAAATCTATAAAAATAAAAACTACATTAAAAATAATAATAATGTCTGGTCATCTAAATAGTACCTCTACAGCTTATTAAGTGCTCTGGAGACGTCCCAGTTGCCTGTCCTTCCCATTAAAGGTGATATCCAGTGCTGATTTCCCCTTCAACCTCGGGTTCCCATAAACCTCTTCTTTCTCACTCCTGCTGCCCTCCGGTACTCCAATAAAGAATGATAGATGGGCCGGGAGCAGTGGCTCACGCCTGTAATCCCAGCACTTTGGGAGGCCAAGGCGGATGGATCACCTGAGGTCAGGAGTTGGAGACCAGCCTGGTCAACATGGTGAAACCCCGTTTCTACTAAAATACAAAAATTAGCTGGGCATGGTGGCGGGCCTCAGTAATCCCAGCTACTCAGGAGGCTGAGGCAGGAGAATCGCTTGAACCCGGGGGCAGAAGTTGCAGTGAGCAGAGATTGTGCCACTGCACTCCAACCTGGGCGACAGAGCAAGACTCCGTCTCAAAAAAGAAAAAAAGAAAAGAAACAGTCCCAGTATGCATCCATGTGCATGTGCATGCAGGTGTATCTGCCTGTGAGAGCTGCGCACGCGGCTCTGAGTACCTGGGAAGACACCCATGTACAGATGCTGTACATGTGCGGGGTCACTCTCTGGCGCATTCGGAGGCATGAGGGCTACGTGCAATGCGAGGGAACCTATGTCCAGGCTTCCTTTCTTGGTTTTCCTCCTCTGAACTCATGCATCCCTTCACAAACAGTCCAGCTCCTGGCTAAAAACCTATGTGTGATTTTTCAGCCCAAACACAGGCAATGACAGGTTTTACCTGGCAGGCCTCACAGCTGAGTCGTGCACAGCTGATGCGTTGCAGTCTTTAAAGACAGTTGCAGACACAGACTCAGGCCTCCTGGACAGTCGACCTCTCACACACATCTCCGCTCCCAACCCAAGTCTTCATTCAGACACGTCTTCATTGCAGTGGGGTAGGCCTTCGGCCAGGACCTCCTTATCTTGGGGAGTGGAGAATCCTTGAAGACACTTTCCTCCATGCTGACTCAGAAGTTTTCCCACTCTCCCTTCCCCACCCCATCCCTGGCCCCCAGGTCCGTACAACTTCAGGAGCCTTTTTGTTGGAAGCTTTTCTGCAGTGAGACCAACCCCACACCTGTGCTCATCCACCCGACCCCAGTTGGCATCATTCTATGAGGAAATTAGAACAGGTGGATCTGTGTTCTACAAAATAAAACAAACCAGGTTCTCTGGTTTAGCCTCTTTCTTGTACTGTAATAATAAGAGATTTGGGGCTTGGCTATTACTTGCTTTGACTTTTTTTGTTTTGAGACAGGGTTTCGCTCTGTCACCCAGGCTGGAGTGCAGTGGTGCGATCTCGGCTCACTGCAACCTCCGCCTCCTGGGCTCAAGCAATCCTCCCACCTCAGTCTCCCTAGTAGCTAGGACTACAGGTGCACACCATCATGCCCAGCTAATTTTTATATTTTTTATAGAGATGGGGTTTCACCATGTTGTCCAGTCTGGTCTCAAATTCCTGAGATCAAGCAACCCACTGGCCTCAGCCTCCCAAAGTGTGAGGATTACAGGCCTGAGCCACCATGCCGGGCCATCATTAATCAGCTACTCCAGCACTTAGCAGTTCAGCTCTCTCCTGCTCAGCTGAGCTCCTGATTGTACAGTGGTTAAGAGCAAACTGCCTCTGCCACTTAGTAACCTGGTGACTTGAAAAATCACTTTGCCTTTTCATCCTTTGGTTTCTTCATCTGTAAAATGAAAATAACAATAAACAATACCTACTTCACAGGGTGGTTGTTGTGAGGGTGTAGTGAGTTGATGTATGTAAAGCATAACGTAGGTTCCATTGAAGTGTTTGCTATTGTGTTCAACAGGGTCCATTTCTGCTTGGAGATCCACATGGCTCTGGGGAGTACCTGTTGGCTCAGCCTAGGTCACGTGTTCCACCTTAACCATCCCTTCCCTGCTCCAAGGTAGAGCCCGTGACCTGAACTAAACCAGCAGGCACGCTCCACCTCCAACACCGGCTCAAGGTGGGCGTGTAATATAAGCTGGTTCAATTAGAATGAATCTTTTTTTTTTTTTTTTAAAGACGGAGTCTCATCCCCCATCACCCAGACTGGAGAGCAGTGGCACAATCTCAGCTCACTGCAACCTCTGCCTCCCAGGTTCAAGCAATTATCCTGCTTCAGCCTCCTGAGTAGCTGGGATTACAGGTGCCTGCTGCCACGCCCAGCTCATTTTTGTATTTTTAGTAGACACAGGGTGTTGCCATGTTGGCCAGGATGGTCTCGAACTCCTGACCTCAAGTGATCCACCCACCTCGGCCTCCCAAAGTGCTAGGATTACAGGCGTGAACCACTGTGCCCAGCCCAATTACAGTGAATCTTAATACACTGGCTGAAAATTCTGGGACACAGCCAGTCTCTCTCTTTCCAACAGGACATGTACAAGGACCTGTACAACCCTGGGAGATGCTGGCATATTGGGGCCACAAGCAGTGCTGACCTGAAGAAAAGGGCAACACCTCAGAAAACAAAGTAGATAAATAGAAACCAAGTCCTTGGTGCCATCACTTGATTTCTGGACAAAGCCTCACCTAAGCTATTTATTGACCTGAGCCCTTCATAGTTTAGGCCAATGTGATTTGGTTGTTTTGTTACCTGTAACCAAGTATCTTAACACAAAGTGGATCTGTGAGTGACCAGAGCCTCTTGGGGGTTGTAGCAATCTAGTAGTTGGCCCAGAAAGGCCAACTCTGAGATGGAGTGTAGGGTGCAGAATGTTGAGTAATGAGTGCTCTTGGAATCAACAACTGAGGAAGACAGAAATATGCAGGATTGGGCACAGGGAGAAGTTCAGCTGCAGTGCAGGCCCAAGGGTAGTTGCAGCTGAGCCTTCAGGAAGTTCTGGAGCCAGAGTAGCCCTTCTGAGTTGTTCCAAGCACTGAAGGCCTAGCAAGTTCCAGGGGTATTAAAATCAATAAGCCTGTCAGCCCCGACAATGCCCTCAATAGGTCTGGGCACAGATTGGAGAGAAGCTGGGCTCCCACTGCACCAGGAGGGAGTGGCCCAGAGCCACTGAGCCATGGAGACTCAGGCAGGGGGTTGCTCCAGCACTTCTTCTGGAGAAGTTTTGAGCCCCAGATGCAGTTAGCACAGTTGCCCGCCCCTTATCATAAGACGAAGTCCGTTCCCACCACATCTTCTGCAAGACCTAGCTGGGGACCCCGAGACACTGGCAAAAAAGCAAATGTAAATCCAGCTTTATTGGTAAAAAAGGAATAGCAGATTTAATCAGAAATTCCCACCTGGCCCAGCAGCACCAACCAGAAAGAAGGGAAGAAGAGAGGAAAAAACCACAGGAAGAAAGAAAGGAGGGAGGGAGGGAGAGGAGGAAGGAAGGAGGAGGGAAGGGAAGGGGGGAAGAAGGGAGGGAGGGAGGGAGGGAAAGAAAGAGGGAGGAAGGGCAGAGGGAGCAGGGAGACTGTAGATCAGGGTCTGAATGGAGATCCGGTCCTGGAAGTAAATGATCCAAGGCTCCAGGTGCTGGGAAGAGAGCAGGAGGGGAGGGCGGCCCATGGCACTGCCATCTAGAAGGGTAGTGGCTCTTCCACAGGAATGTTGAGGATGACATCCATGTCTGGGGTGCACCTGGTGGGAGGCAGCACAGAAGGCCATGAGAGACCAGAGGTGGCGGTGTGGGAGCACCCACTCAGAGGAGCCCTGCTCTTTAGAACTCTGGTACGTACTTGGGTTGGGGGGCAATCCCAAAATACAATCTGTGATCTATCTGTGACCTCAAAGCCCAACTGTGCATACACAAGCATACACACACACACACACACACACACACACACACACACATACACACACATCAAAAATGGAAAAGAAATGAGTTTGGCAGGACAAATGTTCCCCTGACAAGTCTGAGGTCAAGAGGGAGCAGGAACTCAGCTCTGAAATGCTGAGGGCCCTCAAGATGATCACTGGCTTTGGAGTGAGGATGACAGGTTTGATAACTTTGACCTGTGTCACCTTGAGCAAGCTATTTCTACTCTCCCAGCCTCACTCCTTCAGTTGGCACTTAAGTGAAAAGCACTCATTAAGTCCCAGACCCCAAGTGAGCCTCAGTTTCCTCATCTGTCAAATGGGTTTAATATTCTAACCTCAGTCATTGGTGGAAAGATTAAATGAGACCATGCCAGCAGGTAATAAGTGCTCAGTAAATGACAGGCATTATTATTTCCATGAAAGTAGCAAGAGAGATGGATTCCCATCAGCAATATATTCCCCATTGCAGGGACCAGCACAAATATTTAAGAGGCTGAAGGATTACATTCTGTTTCACTCTCTTTTCTCTCTTCCAAGGAGACCATCCTCTCTCATGGTTTCAATAATCTGCTGATACACATGAAGTATTTAGGCAGGAAATGTCAGGATACTTGCAATTTACAAATACTATTAAAAAAATGAACATGAAACCAACATAGAAAAAAAAAAAATTTCTAAATCTAGATGGGCAAAACTGGCTATTCATTATATCATTCTCTCTTCTTTATATTTGAAATTTTTCATAATAATAGTAAAAAAAAAAAGTTCATCTCTATGCTGGCAACACCTAAATTTCTACTTCCAGCCAATATCTGTCCTCTGAGGTCTACACTCATCTTGTCAATTGCCCACCCAATGACTCCACCTTGGCACCTCATATAAATCAAACTTACTGTCCAAGTCAACTGTATGGTTTTTGTTTTGTTTTGTTTTGTTTGAGACATGGTCTCACTCGGTCACCCAGGCTGGAATGCAGTGGTGCAATCACAGCTCACTGCAGCCTGGAACTCCTCAATCGATCCTCCTGCCTCCCAAATAGCTGGGACCACAGGCACGTGCCACCACATCTGGCTAATTTTTTAATTTTTTGTAGAGATGGAGGTCTCACTATGTTGTCCCCCTGGTCTCGAACTCCCAGCCTCAAGCGATCCTTCTTCCTCATCCTCCTAAAGCACTGGGATTACAGGTGTGAGCCACCATGCCTGCCTCCAAATAAACTTTTTGACTGTGCCTACATACACATCCCTCACCCCGCCCCAGCCTTCCCAATCTCTGCATTTGACATCACCACCACCCCATTATAAAAGTCAGGAACCCAGGGGTTATTCTTGATACCTCCCTTTCCTGTACTTCCCAAGTCATGCAAGTCCTTCTTACTTTCCTAAATATTTCTCCAATCTATCTATTTCTCCCATTTCTTCTGCCACACTCTTGGCCAGGCCACTTCCCATGTTCCCCTGGACAACTGCCCTCACACCCACTAGAATTCCAGCTGCCATTCTGGCTCCTTGCCAATCTCATCCCCATGCTCTTTTCTTTTCTTTTAAGAAAGAGTCTTGCTCTATTAAGCAGGCTGGAAGGCAGTAGCACCATCTTGGCTCACTACAACCTCTGTCTCTAGGGCTCAAGCAATCCTCCTGCCTTAGCCTTCACTGCAGCTGGGACTACAGGCGCACGCCACCACGCCTGGCTAACTTTTGTATTTTTTGTAGAGATGGGGTTTCACCATGTTGCCCAAGCTGGTCTTGAACTCCTGGGCTCAAGCAATCCTCCCACCTTGGCCTCCCAAAACGCTGAGATTACAGGCATGAGCCACCACACCCAGCCCACCATGCTCTTTTCAAACTGACTTTTTTGGAATACAAATCTGATCATGTGGCTTAAGATCCTTTGCTTCTGGGATCAGGCAGAACATCTGGGCCTACAGGGCACTGCATGGAGGTCCCTAGGGGCTGAGTTGCCCTGCTCCCTTCCCGCCACTCTCCCTGTCACTCTGCATTCCAACCACTCTGGCCTCACTCAGCTCCGTGTCAATGCCAAGTTCCTTCCAACCATAGCTCCTTCACAGCTCAAGGCTCAACATGTGGTTGGTTCATAGAGCAGTAACATAAGCATCACCGGGTAGCTTCTTAGAAATGCAGAATCAGGCTGGGCATGGTGGTTCACACCTGTAATCCCAGCACTTTGGGAGGCCAAGGCAGGCAGATCACTTGAGGTCAGGAGTTTGAGACCAGCCTGGCCAACATGGCAAAACCCCGTTTCTACTAAAAAACATAAAAATTAGCCAGGCATGGTGGTGCACACCTGTAATCCCAGCTACTCGGGAGGCTGAGACAAGAGAATCACTTGAACCCAGGAGGCGGAGGTTGCAGTGAGCTGAGATGGTGCCAGTGCACTCCAGCCTGGGAGACAGAGCTAGACTCTGTCTCAAGAAGAAGGAAGGAAGAAAGGAAGGAAGGGAGGGAGGGAGGGAGGGAGGGAGGGAGGGAGGGGAAAGAAAGAAAGAAGGAAGAAAGAAAAAGAAAGAAAAGAGAAAGACAGAGAGAGAAAGAAAGAAAGAAAAAGAAAAGAGAGAAAGGAAGGAATGAAGGAAGGAAAGAAAGAAAAGAAAAGAAAAAAGAAATGTAGATTCATGAGCCCCACTGAGACCTACTGACTTGGAATCTGCTTTTTAACGCGATCTCCAGGTGTTTCCTGGGCATGTTCCAGTTGGAGAGGCTCTGCTTAACAGTGTGCCATTTCTACTTTTTAGGAGGGAAAATGTGCTTCCTTGCTCCTGGTGTTCCCTTCCACGTGGAAGGGCATCCATGAGTGTATTGCTCCTGGCCTCTCTCTGCCCCCTTAAATTCTGCTTTTGGAAAGGGGGTATGACCACCAGAATGGTGAGTGTGAGGAGAGGAAGGGGACACAGGGAGCCCAGTCCCTTTCTCTCTCAGCAGCAAGAAACCCGAAAGGACTCCACTCTTCTCTGCCCCAAGGCCTGGCTCCACGTGGGTCCAGCTCCACCATGATCGGGTGGTTCAATTTGCCTAATTCTGGGTTCACTATTCAGAGGCCAACACAGTCTCTAAAATCAGCTTTACCAGAATAAAGGTGATAACCTGGCCCACATGCACCTTACCCCTTTCAGTCTCATTCACTGTGTTCAGAGTTCAGGTAAAGACAAGTGACTATTTATTACGTCCCCCGGAGACCCTGGCACCACCGCCTAGAATTGCTCTTCCTTCAGCTCCCCCATCAGTCTCTTTCACCTAGTGAATTTCTATGCATCCTTCAAGCCTCAGTTCAAATGTCACATCCTCAGGAAAACCTTCCTTGACTGCCCAGACTTGCTGTCCTAACAGTTGCTTTCTTTTTTCTTTTTTTTTTAATTAAAAAAAAATTTTTTTTTAGATGGAGTCTCGCTCTGTCACCCAGACTGGAATGCAGTGGCACAATCTCGGCTGACCGCAACCTCCGCCTTCCAGGTTCAAGCAATTCTCTGCCTCAGCCTCCCGAGTAGCTGGGATTACAGGCACCCGCCACCATGCCCAGCTAGTTTTTGTATTTTTAGTAGAGACAGGGTTTCATCATCTTGGCCAGGCTGGTCTTGAACTCCTGACCTCGTGATCCACCGGCCTTGGCCTCCCAAATTGCTGGGATTACAGGCGTGAGCCACTGCACCCAGCTCCTAAGAGTCACTTTTGCAGTGGCATGTACTCTACTCAGCAGCTCTGGGCTCTGCTGCAACTCCACATTTATTTGTGGCTCATTATCGACTCATGTCCAGTTCCCTCTTTAGTTCCATGAGGGCGGGACCAAGGACTGTTCTCATTCACATGGTGCCTGGCATTCAGAGGCACTTCATAAATCCAATAGTATTTTGTTTTGGGGGCGGGGGGCGGTTTAGAAATAGAAGAAAAGGAAGAAATGGCGATAGGAGAGGAGAAGGAAGGAAAACGACAGGAGGGAGAGACAGATGAAGAAGAAAAATTAAAGAATTTGCAAATGCTAGGCTCTGCCACACATGGTCCTGTGGTGTCATCAAGGAGAGGTAAGCCTGGGGGACCCCCAACCCAACCGCAGAGGGCTTGCCCCAAGGAAGGGCAGGCAAAGAATTGGTTTCTGGGGCCCAGAAACCTGCCAAGTGAACAGGACAGACTTCTCTCCTTGTAGAGTGTCTTCCAGGCTATTCTTCCCTGAAGCCAACCACCCCACTCAACTCTGCCTTCCTCAAAAACCCAGAAGTGGAAGGCTGTACCCACTTGGTTGACACATGGGATCTGGGAACTAGAAGGGCCCTTAGAGATTACACCACCCAGCCTGCTGTGTACAGATGGGAATTGGAGGCCTTTGCAGAGATGGGAAAGGTCACATCTGCCCCTGGTCAGTGGCAGATCCAAGGTGGAAACCCAGGACCGCCCCTCCCTCCCTGTACAGGGTTCTGCCATCCACACCAGGCTGCCTTCCCCAAGAACAGAGAGCCTCCGTGAGCTCAGAGTGTGACTGGTTTAAGAGGCAGTGGCAAAAAGATCACATACTTGGGTCTCCGAAGCAGAACATCCTCAAATATGACCTCTCGGGGTTCCCGGGTCTGGGCTTGGAGCTCTTCCACCTCGGCCCTTAATACAGGCATGTTCTCCTCAAACTGGTCAATAATCTGAGAGGAAAGGCACAGCAGGGGAGAAGGGAGAGGCAAATGGCCCCCAACCAAAGGGAGAAAGGCCAAAATGAACGAGGAGCAAAGCTATCTGGGGAAATGGTATGGGTTCTGTCACTGGGACTTGCTGGACTCCAGGGAGGGGACTTCCCCATGCAAGGTGCGGCTGGCTTCCAAGTTAGTGACAATATTCAGTGGTGCTGAAACAGGTGAGGGATCATGGAGAATGGAGACAGGTTACAAAGTGGCGGGGAATGCTCAATCATGGGAATGAATGGAGGCTGGCAGAGATAGTGAAGGGCATACACATTAAAAACCAGTGAAGAGGCAAGATAATGAAAATTAATTCAAGAAGGCAGTGATGGTGAAGTTCATTAACACTGATAATGGGTGGTGGGCAGTAACAAGAATCAAGGGGTAAAGATGCACGGTGGTTAATGGCTGAATAGGTGATGTTTGGTGATGGTTGTAAATGGGTCATTAGCCAGCATTGCTGGCTAATGAGGCAAGGCCTAGGTCAGTGCCAATCGCCTTCCCAGATGAAAGACAAGTGACAGTAATGGCACCGGCAAGGAGGGAGGCCAACACCAGAGTCAGAGACCTCCTGAGCGCCAGATCAGGAGAAGCCTGACTCATTCCCACAGGCCGTGGGGACTGCCCATCCACTGCTTCCCTACAGGGACCACCACCTTCCTTGCCCACGCACTTCTCTGAACCTTTGCATGCATTTCAGGAAGTCCTGGCTTTCCCACATCTTCTGTAGGAGAGCCTCTTCATAGGGACGCTGGGTTTCCTGTGGAGGAAGAAGAGGTCTGGCCCCCAGGTGCCTCTTCCTGGGCAGCAGAACATGGTAGAGACCGATGGGGCTGCAGTGGGCCTGGAGGCAGAGGATGGGGAAGAGGGCGGGGTGGGGGTGAGACCTGGATCCCCGCTCCCACACAGCAACTGGCTACTCACCGCCACCACAGAACTCAGAATTTTTTTCTTCTTCTTCTGAATCTTGTCAGACAAGGATTCCAGGACCTTTCTGCGCATCTCACCGAGGTCATCCAGCTCATCCTGGGAGCCAGCAGAAGGGTGTTGGTCACCAGTCCTGCCTCCCACACAGTCTGGTGGGAGAGGGGCAGGGGCTCCCCTACCTGCTGGCTGTCCTTAACCTGCTGCAGCTGGCGCATAAGAGTGGAGATCTGGACAGACTTGATGGAATACTCATGGTCCATGTAAGTGCTCAGGAAGTTCACTTCCTCCTGGGTCTTCTCAATCTTGGCATTCAGCTGCTCTGCCTGCTGCTCAAGATCTGGGGAGGGGTTAGGGAGGTCAGCAGGGACAGGAGGCAAGACCTTCCCTCAAGCACCTGGGCCCCAGGAGGCCCAGGAGGCAAGGTCTCCTTGGCCAGTAACTGGGGTCTGGGCTGAGGTGAGCTCACACAGGGCTGGGAGGTGGTTAAAAGTTAAGGCTCTAGACGGTTTTCCACCCCTGCAGGAGAAGAGGCAATGCTGGGTAGGAAAAAGGAAGGGAATTGGTGCATGATCCCTAGACTAGTCCCCACTCTGCCACTGACTTGCCGGGTGGCTCTCGCCAAGACTGTCCCTCTCCAGACTTCAGTCTCCTCAGAGACACACTCAAGGAAGTGAGACCAGGCAGATGGGGTGACAGTGGCTCCCAAGACACAACCCATGGCAGGATTAAGACAAAGTCTATCCTGTCTTCCTCCAGAGAGACCCCCAATGTCTGGGGTTGACTGATCCACCACCCCTCTGCTCAGCAGGTGTGTAGTCTGCTCAGGGAAAAGGAACCACAGGCCAGGCAGGATGGAAGCCAGGAGACCCAGGTTCTAGCCCAGCCACTGACTCCCAGAAGGACCTTGGCAGGAAACAGAGCCAGGCTAGGATTGGATTCTGGCTCCTAGCTATATAACCTTCCACAAGCTACTGCACCTCTCTTAGCCTCGGTTTCCTCATCTGTAAAATGGGAGGACAGCTTCCCTGCCTCCAAGTAGTTGCAATGACTGAGTGTGTGCCTGTAACAATGCAGACATTGGTAGAGACCCAGATACGGGGCCTGGAAAGAGCTAAGTGTTGGGTAACTATGCTATTCGCTCTGTATCTTAGCATTCCCATCTGCCAAGAAGAGAGCCAATGGGGCTGAGGGTTTCTGAATGGCAAGTACAAGGTGAATGCTCTGCTGCTGACCTCCCCAAGGTGCCAGGGGGGAGGGTCAAGGAATTTGCCAGGGATTCTTACAGCTCATCTTGCATTTCTTCTTTTCTTCCCACTCCTGAAGCTCAGATTTCAATTGCTGCAGCCTCTTCTTGTTTGAGTACTCCAAGATGTCGATGATGGTCTGCGGGAGGGGTGGAGTCAACTCACCCACAGGCTCTGCTGGCTCTCAGAGGCGGCCACCCAGCACTTCCTCAGAGGAGTCCCCAGTCCCAACCTCACTCCCAGAAACCTGACCAGAGGCTAATCGGGACAGTAACAGTGTCCACCCATAGGGTTGTTGTAAGGACTATATAAAGACATACAGATCGCTTGCTATTACACGTAGAGGTGTTTGCAAATGCTGTTGGTGGTAGCAGCGACCTCTGTCGCACCGGTACAGTATGTGCCCGGTGAACCCCCTCTGGGACGGGTGCTATGGTGCCGCATTTCACAGAGCTCGGGGAGGCAAAGTTAACTAAAAGTCTCCCGGCCAGTGAGTGCTGGCGCGCTGGGATGAAACCCATCTCGGTCCTCTTGCAAAGCCCAGGTGAGGGGAGTGAAGGGTGAAGAAATGCGTCTTCCAGGTGGAGGAAGCACCACGTGCAGTGGGCGGGGAAAGGCAGGAGAGGGCGCGCGAGTGCGCGGAGGGAGGGCGGGACGGAGGGAGGGAGGGCGGGACGGAGGGAGGGAGGGAGGGACGGAGGGCGGGACGGCGGGAGGGCGGGACGGAGGGACGGAGGGAGGGCGGGACGGAGGGCGGGAGGGCGGGACGGAGGGAGGGAGGGAGGGAGGGACGGAGGGCGGGACGGAGGGACGGAGGGAGGGAGGGAGGGACGGAGGTTGGGACGGAGGGACGGAGGGCGGGCGGATGCCGCGGGTCTCACCGCCAGGGTGTCCTGCTGCTGCAGCAGGGCCCGCACGTGCAGGGTCGTGCTGTTCTCCATCTCCTGGATGGTCTCGATCAGCTCCCGGTTGAGCTTGCTGAGGAAGTTCTCACGGCTTCGGAGCTCTCGCAGAGCGGCCCTCCCGCTCCTGAGCGAGGTCTGCGGGCGGAGGGAAGAGCAGAGAGGCGGCGCTGCGCCCTGCCCGGCCTGAGCCCCCGAAAGCCCGTGGACCCGCCGCCCCGGCCCCGCCAGACGCCCGCCCCCGTGCGGCCTCCTGCTGGTAAACGCGGCCCAAGCTGGGCGGTTCCCCATTGTCTGCGCCGCCCGGGAGCTCCGGGACTCTCATCCGTTCGGAAACGCACGTGTACCCATCATCTCACATCCCTGAGGTGCGGGTGCATCTACAGTTGGTGGCGTGTCACCAACTAATCAACAAATATATTATTAGTGGGTAAATAAAGATGTGCCTTCATATCAATGGCTTCTCAGAATCAATGAAATATAGAAATAATAGTAAGGGCCGGGCGGGGTGGCTCACGTCTATAATCCCAGCACTTTGGGAGGCCAAGGTGGGCCGATCACGAGGTCAAGAGTTCGAGACCAGCCTGACCAACATGGTGAAACCCCGTCTCCACTAAAAATACAAAAATTAGCCGAGCGTGGTGGCGCGTGCCTGTAATGCCAGCTACTGGGGAGGCTGAGGCAGGAGAATCGCTTGAACCTGGGAGGCGGAGGTTGCAGTGAGCGAGATGGCGCCACTGCTCTCCAGCCTGGGCGACAGAGGAAGATTCCTGTCCCAATAATAATAATAATAATAAACGCCCCAGGTAGGTTAAGAAGGTGGCAGAGCGACCGCCATGTCTGGAGGAGAAGCAGGGGAGGCAAAATGGATGATAAACGTCAGCATTTCCGGGCAGGCCGCGGAGTCAATGAGTACTCTCATTTCACACAACAGCCCCCAGTGGAACAAGGAGGGTCTGAGGGTTAAGTGACTCGCCTAAGGTTACACCCAGCAGGTGCATAAAACCTACAGTAACAACAACAACAACAATTGTACTTCCCTAAGGTTACACCCAGCAGGTGCATAAAACCTACAGTAACAATAACAACAACAATTGTACTCCCCTAAGGTTACACCCAGCAGGTGCATAAAACCTACAGTAACAATAACAACAACAATTGTACTCCCCTAAGGTTACACCCAGCAGGTGCATAAAACCTACAGTAACAATAACAACAACAATTGCTGAGGGCCCTCTACATGCCAGGCCAGGTGCTGTGCCTTGCTCTGCAGGTGGCACATGGTATCTGTTCACCCTCCAACAGCTTTATGTTTACTAACTCTATTTTGCTGATAAATGGAGGCTCAGAGAGTTTAATGACTTGCCCAGTGTCACACAGTCAAGAAGTGGCAGGGCTGGAACTGGAAAGCCAGACTTCTGAATCCCAATGTCTGTCTTTCCGTTATGCTAAAACAAGAACTGAGTAGCCTTAAAACTGCAAGGCATGGCTGAACCACGTAGTGACTAAGACTTGGATGTTGAACCTAGACACACCTTGGTTCAAATCCCAGCTCAGCCACTTACCATCTAAGAGAATCTGGGCAAGTTAGTTAATGTCTCAGAGCCTCCTTATACTCATTCTAAAGGTAAGGAAACTAGTATCTGTTTTAGAGAACTGCCGTAAAATATAAATGAGATTGGACAGGTGCGGTGACTCACGCCTGTAATCCCAACACTTTGCGAGGCCCAGATGGGAGGATCACTCAAGGCCAGGAGTTCAAGACCAGCCTGGGCAACATAGTGAGACCTCATTTCTACAAAAAGTAAACAAAATTCGCTGGGTGTGGTGGTGTACACCTACAGTCCTAGCTACTCAGGAGTCTGAGGTGGGAGGAATGTTTGAGCCCAGAAGATCGAGGCTGCAGTAAGTCAAGATTATGCCACCACACTCCAGCCCGGGTAACACAGCAAGAACTTGTCTCTAAAAGTAAATAAATAAATAAATAAATACAATTTTAAAAAATTAAAATGTTCGCTGGGCATGGTGGTGTGCACCTATAGTCCTAGCTACTTGGGAGGCTGAGGCAGGAGGATCTCTTGAGCCCAGGAGTTTACGGCTGCAGTGAGCTATGATTATGCCATTTCACTTTAGCCTGGGTGACAGAGCAAGACCCTGTCTTTAAATTCACAATCAAGCCACTTAGTGAGAGTGCACTCATGTGCACTCAGTGAACAATAGCTGATACTACTGTCTCTGGCTCTAACCCTCTACCCCTGCCATAAATATTTGCTCTTTCATTTGTTCCTGTACTTCCTCATTTCTCCGTCCTTTACTAAAAACGACCCCTTCCTAGCCCTCAGCTCCTTTATTTCTCATATAACAGTAATCATGCTGATGTGCTGAGTGCTTGCCATGTGGCTGATACTGTACTAAGCACTTCATGCGCACTGCAGCACATCACCCTCACAGCAAGACTAAGAGATGGGCACTATTATTAGGCCAACTTTATAAAAGTGGACAGCAGTCGGGCACAGTGGTTCACACCTGTAATCCCAGCACTTTGGAAGAGCAAGGTGGAAGGACTACTTGAGCCCAGGAGTTAGAGCCCTGGGCAACAAAGGGAGATCCCATCTCTACGAAAATTAGCTGGGCATGATAGTGCATGTCTATAGTCCCAACTACTCCGAGAGGCTGAGGTGGGAGGATCACCTGGGCTCGGAAGGTCCAGGCTGCAGTGAGCCATGATCATGCCACTGCGCTCCAGCCTGGATGACACAGCGAGACCCTGTCTCAATCAGTCAATGTGGACAGCAAGGATTAAATTCAGTAACTTATTCAAGGTCACACATAGCAGAGCTGTCATCCTTGAAGTCTTGCCTCCTAGCCACTCCACTACCTTGTCTCCACATCTCCAGACCAAAATACCCAGAAGTATCTTGTGAAAAATGTTATTCTCCAAGTCCTGGGCCCACTGAAACAGCAGCACTAGGGTTTCAGTTCAAATGTCACCCACCTTAGCAGCCTCTCGTTAGCACCTAAACAATTACTGCCACACTCTCCTCCGTGCCTCCAGCCCCCTAACCTTATTCTTAGGCTTCTCTTTAGCTCTTATCATCATTTCAAATATCTTTCTCTTGTTGATTGTCAGTCTCCCCCATCCAATAGAATGGAAGTCCCCTAAGATCAGAGGTCACATTACTGGTGAACCCTCATACTCAGAATAGAACCTGGCACATGGTAGGTGCTCAATCAATATTTGTTGATTCATTAAATGAATGAAAGATTGCAAGAGACAGTATTAAGAACTGGACTGGTTAGGAGCACAAGTTTTAGAGCCAAATTGTCCACGTTCAGCTTCTACATCAATCAAAAACACCTAAACCCCTCTAAAGTTAGGATAAAAATAACAGAAATGGCTGGAAGCGGTGGCTCACACCTATAATCCCAGCACTTTGGGAGGCCAAGGCGGGCAGATCACCTAAGGTCAGGAGTTGGAGACCAGCCTGGCCAATATGGTGAAACCCCATCTCTACTAACAATACAAAAAATTAGCTGGGCGTGGTGGTGGGCGCCTGTAATCCCAGGTACTCAGGAGGCTGAGGCAGGAGACTCACTCAAACCTGGGAGGTGGAGGTTGCAGTGACCTGAGATCTTGCCACTGCACTCCAGCCTGGGTGACGGAGTGAAACTCTGTCTCAAAAAAAAATTTTTTTAAAAACTAAGAGAAATATGAGTTCCTCCTTTAAGAATACTGGGCTACCTCTAAACCATTTTGCAAGATAAAAGGTTAAAGGGGAAAAAAAGGTTTCAAAGCAAATTATATTTTCCCTTGTTCTTTATATAGTAGTCATTGTTCATTGAGCTATTAAAAATTTTCTTGAAGAATTATTCTATAGTATTTTGTAGTCTTTATAATACTTAGTATTTTACTTTCTGCTATGTATGCTAAGGACTTGTCTTCCTTTAGGCATTTCAAATACTTTGAGACATTGTTCAGATAATTACAGAAGCCATAAAACAATGTATAGCGAGGAAATTAATTACCTACAATTGTAGCGATTGATGTGAAAATTTTCATTGTCAGTTTCTAAGGCTTGCTTCAAAGTACACTGTAAGAAAATTTAATTTACTGGAATTTTTTTTTTTTGAGATGAAGTCTCACTCTGTCTCCCAGGCTGGAGTGCAGTGGCACCATCTCAGCTCACTGCAACCTCTGCCTCCCAGGTTCAAGCCGGTCTCCTGCCTCAGCCTCCCGAGTAGCTGGGACTACAGGTGCGTGCTACCACACCCAGCTAATTTTTGTAGTTTGAGTAGAAACGGGGTTTCACCACGTTGGCCAGGCTGGTCTCGAACTCCTGACGTCAAATGATCCACCCACCTAGACCTCCCAAAGTGCTGGGATTATAGGCATGAGCCACCACACCCGGCCAAGTTGCTGCAAATTTTAAGATAAATAAGCCACTAGATCGTGTTCCTAATGCAACAAAATAACAAGCAATTCTGATTATTTCTTGAGTCTTAAACAGAACAGCAAACGCTTTGTTTAACTGGCTTTGACCCCTGATCCTGCCATTTCCTGGCTGTGTGACCTGGTGCATGTCATTTATCTCCCTGCGCCTCAGTTTCCCGGTTTGTAAAATAGGAACAAGGATAAGCGTGCTCACACAGTTCCTGTGAGGAAGAAATGAGTCAAGTCTGGCACCCACAAAGTTCTCAGCACATGTTTGCTACAGCCATCATCCCCGTCCCTGTCCTGGGCCCAGTGTCCAGGGAAGATGTGCCTCATACCTTCATTAACCAGATTTTGGCATGCATCTTCCCAGGGTCCAACTTCCGCCTTCTATGTAGTTCTCTTGGATTCTTCGGCTGGCAGCTTGTCACCACCGTAGTGGGCTTGAAGTGAAACACTAGGGGTAGACAGGAAAGGACAGGGAGAGAGTGAGGGTCCCGGAAGGCCTGAGGCCAGGTTCCCGGGAGTGCACCATTAATGAGAGGAGGGCCAGACCCCAGCTCCACCCTCTGACTGCCTTATAATGTGACACTAGACCGAGGGTGAAATTCACACCCTTCACTAAGCTCCCAGGACAGACTCTGGGCCTCAATATGAGGGAGGGACAAGCCCAGGTGAAAGCAGTAACTATGGACATGGACAGAGGGGAGGGCAGGGCAGCCAGGAACCCCGCTCTCAAATGTCCAGTCAGAAAGAGAGTCGGGAACTCCCACTCCTTGTGTCTTTCCAGTAGCTACTGCAGCACAGGACAGCAGAAAGACCAGAGTCTGGCAGGCCTGAATCCAAATCCCTGCTGTCCCACCAACCTGGCTGGCAGAAGGCCTGATGGGGTAGGGGTTAAGAGCAAGAACTAATGAGCCAGACAGTCCAAGTTTAAATCCAGGCTCTTGGCCAGGCATGGCGGCTCACGCCTGTAATCTCAACACTTTGGGAGGCCAAGGCGGGCGGATCACCTGTGGTCAACAGTTCAAGATCAGCCTGGCCAACATGGTGAAACCCTGTCTCTATTAAAAATACAAAAAATGAGATGGACATGATGATGGGCGCCTGTAATCCCAGCTACTTGGGAGGCTGAGGCAAGAGAATCGTTTGAACTCGGGAGGCGGAGGTTGCAGTGGTGCGAGATCCCGCCACTGCACTCCAGCCTGGGTGACAGAGACTCTATCTCAAAAAATATATATAATCATAAAAATAAATTTTTAAAAATTCCAGGTTCTGCCTTCTACTAGCTGCGTGACCTTGAGCAAGTCAAATGACCTCTGTGTCCCTCCATTCGTCCACCTATAAAATGGGAATAATCATCACGCCCACCTCATAGAGTCTTCCTGAAGATGAAAGAAGTTACTATACCTTAAAGGTGTTTGGAATAGTGCCTGATGCATATTCAGTGCTGGATACACATTACCAGTTGTTACTCTTACTTCTAGTGACCTGAGAAGTGGGACCACAACACCAGACGAAGGCACAGCAGCCACGCAAAACTCCAACTGGCTGTCTCTGAAACACTCTAAGGGCTGTGGTTCTGCCAGATAAGAGTACAGGCATTTGGGGGGCATATTCTCAGAATCCCTGTTTCCTCTCTGCCTGTCGTGCAATGACATGGGACAAATCGCCCAGGTGGATCCAGCTGTACTCTCAGTCCTCACCAAAATCCCTGCTTCAGGTACAACCCAGCTCATCTGGGAGAGATACTAATCTCTTTAATAGATCAATGTCCTTCATCCTGAGAAATGCTGGCATTAACTATGGAGATGATTAAGTAAATTAATTTTGTGTTTAATTTATAAATTACCTGTATATATCCGGTTTTTAGTTGTATTGTATAAGAGATAGAATGATTAATAGGTTAATCTTGTGATTCTAATTTTAAAAGTGTAAGTGGGATTTTGATTTAGATTTAAGTTGAAAGGTTTAATACACTCTTATTAGCTCCGTTGCCCAGGCTGGTGTTCAATGGCGAGATCTCGGCTCACTGCTACTTCTGCCTCCCAGATTCAAGCAATTCTCCTGCCTCAGCCTCCTGAATAGCTGGGATAACAGGTGCCCGCCACCACACCCAGCTAATTTTTTAATTTTTAGTAGAGATGCGGTTTTGCCATGTTGGCCAGGCTGGTCCTGACCTCAGGGGATCCACCTGCCTCAGCCTCCCAAAGTGCTGGGATTACAGGTGTGAGCCACCGCGCCCGGCCAGATTACCCATATTTAGAAGTTTAAGTATTAGATATACAAGAATTATGTAAATACCCAATGGTTTTTGTTAATCAGACAAGTGAACCATTTGAAAATGAAAATGAATACGTTAAAATTTAAGATGTGGCTTAAAAGGTTTAGGAGAATTTAATTAACCAAGTTCCAAAACCCCCTTACAAGTGTTTATAAAAATTGTAAGATTCTTAAGTTGAATTTAAATGCTTAAGGAAGATTTGCAGTTTTAATAATGAGGATTTATTTTCATTATTGGTAGTAGCCCTAATTTATCTTTTTTTAAATTAAATCTTTTATTACAAGATAGTTCAGATTCACAAGCAGTTTTAAGAAATAATACGGAGGGGCTGGCCGTGGTGGCTCACGCCTGTAATCCCAGCACTTTGGGAGGCTGAGGCATGTGGATCACCTGAGGTTAGGAGTTCAAGATCAGCCTGGCGAACATGGTGAAACCCCATCTCTACTAAAAATACAAAATTTAGCCAGGTGTGGTGGTGCACGCCTGTAATCCCAGCTACTTGGGAGGCTGAGGCAGGGGAATCGCTTGAACCCGGGAGTTGGAGGTTACAGTGAGCTGAGATCACACCACTGTACTCCAGCCTGGGTAAGAGAGACAGAGAGAGAGAGAGACTCTGTCTGAAAAAAAGGAAAGGAAAGGAGAGGAGAGGAGAGGGGAGGGGAAGGGAGGGGAGAGGAAAAGGAAAAGAAAAAGAAAAAGAAAAAGAAAGGAAAGAAAAGGAAACAGAGGTAGTCTATGTACCCTTTACCCAGTTTCTCCCAGTGGCAACATCCTGCAAAAGTACGGTACAATATCACAACCAGGATATTGACATTAAGATGAGCAAGATATAGGACTTTCCCATAACCACAAGGATCCTGCCTGTCGCCTTCTACAACCACACCCACTTCCCTCCCCTTACCACCCTCCTCACAACTCTGTCCCTAACCCCTGCAATCACTAATCTGCTCTCCATTTCTATAATTTTGTGATCCCCAGAAGGTTATATAAATGGAATCATCCAGTATGTAACTGTGGGGATTGGCTTTTTTTTACTTGGCATAATTCTCTGGAGATTCATCCAAGTTGTTGAATATATCAATAGTTCTTTCCTGTTTATCGCTGTATAGTTTTCCACGGTGGGGATACACCATAGGTTGTTTAAACATTCACCCACTGAGGGACTTCAAGGTTGTTTCCAGTTTTGAGGAATTATGAACGAGGCTGCTATGAACATTCACATACTGGCTTTTGTGTGAATATAAGTTTTCATTTCTCTGGAATAAATGCCCAAGAGTAAAACTGCTGGGTCGGATTACTAGGAAGTGCATGTTTCATGTTGTTAGAAATGGCCACACTTGTTTCCAGAGAGGCTGCATCATTTTACCTTCCCACCAGCAATTGCGCACAATCTGACGTCTCCTCTTTGCTAGCATTTGGTGTTATCACTATTTTTTTATTTTAGCCATTTCGATAGGTGTGCAGTGATATCTCACTGTGGCTTAATTTGCATTGCCCCAATGGCTAATGATGTTGAACATCTTTTTAATGTGCTTATCTGACATCTGTATATCTGCTTTGGTGAAATGTCTCTTCATGTCTTTTTCCCATTGCCTAACTGAATTGTCTGTTTCACTGTTGAGTTTTTACTGTTACTGATATATTCTACATAGTAGTCCTTTGTCAGATACATGGTTTGCAAATATTTTCTCCAAGTCTATAGCTTGTCTTTTCATCCTCCTAAAAAGGTCTTTCATAAGGCCAGGTGCAGTGGCTCTCACCTATAATCCCAGCACTTTGGGAGGCTGAGGCGGGCAGATTACTTGAGGTCACAAGTTCGAGACCAGCCTGTCTCTACTAAAAATACAAAAATTAGCCAGGCATGGTGGCACACGCCTTCAGTCCCAGCTACTCGGGAGGCTAAGGCAGGAGAATCGCTTGAACCCGGGAGACAGAGTTTGCAGTGAGCTGAGATCGCACCACTGCACCCTGGCCTGAGCAACAAAGCGAGACTCCTTCTCAAAAAAAAAAAAAAAAAAAAAAGTCTTTCACAGAACAAAATTTTTAATTTTGATGCAGTCCAATTCATCTATTTTTCTTTTATGGGTCAAGCTTTTGGTGTGATACCTAAGAACTCTTCACTTGGCCCTAGGCCCCAAAGATTTTTCTCTCCTGTTTTCTTCTAAAAGTTTTTCAGTTTCACATTTTACATTTAATTTCTATTTTATTTTATCTTTGAGCTAATTTTTATATTCGTTGTTAAATCATTTCTTTCTTTTTCTTTTTCTTTTTTTTTTTTTTTTTTTTTTTGCCTATGGGTGTCCAATTGCTCCAGCGCCACCCATGGAAAAGGCTTTCTTCCTCCACTGAATTGTTTTTCCACTTTCTGAAAAACCCATTGGGAATATTGGTATGGATTTATTCCCTTTTCCTCACTGGGAAGTGTTGGCAGTGTCCAGCAGGTAGCTGATCCTTCATTCCCTGCTTGGTGGTGCTGATTCCCCAACTGGGATAGTGCTGGCAGGGATGAGTGGGGAGGTCATCTTCTAACCCCCACCTGGCAGAAGACAGTGCTCTGACTCTCTCTCTAGGGTAGTGTCAACAGAGTCTAGCAGTGACAAGATTTCATGAAGTGTCATGAGGTGGGACTCATCACCTCTGGGCTTCACTCCCCTCCCCCAGCCTACCTATGTCAGTAGAGCCTGGTGGGAGCCTGAGCCTCTATCCCCACCCAGCATCAGTGAGGTAAAATAAGGTAGTGAGATGCAGGGCAACTTGGCATTCTACTCTCCCATCTCCTTTCTGTGTTTCAGTGTTGCCCACAGGGGAGCTGATCTAACATTACTTACTCAGAGGCAATGAGGTGGTATGAGTGATTTTATACATAGATGTATACATAAGTATGCTAGATTGTCTATGAAGTTCATTTCAGGATACCAAAGAAATATTACAAAATATTTGTTATTAATTCTCACAACAATCCTAGGTGGTATTAGTGTCCCCATTTCACAAATGAGAAAACCAAGGCTCAGAGAGATGAATGATTTTTCCAAGTGAGTAAATGGCAGAGCCAAAATCTGACCCCATGTCTGCCTGAGCCTGACCCAAGGCCTCGGAACTCCCCTGTAAAGCATGATAATGATGTGGCAGAGTTTATTCTACGATTTCACCAAACCTTGTTTTCTTTTCCTCCTGGAAAAACAGATGGACTACATTTCCCACCTTCCCTTGTGGTTAGCAGAGGTCATGTGGCTAAATTATGGCCCCTGAAACATGAGTAGGAGTAACATTTGTCACTTCAAATCTGGACCCCCCCCAAAAAAAATGCCCACATAATTGTCCATGTTCTTGTTCTCTCTCTTCCCTCTATGCCAGCTGGATGCAAAAGTATCCAGCAGAAGACTTCAAGACCTTACAAAATATCAGACCCACAAGGTCAAAGGAACCTGGATCCCTGAATGACCATGTGGAACAGAATCCCTCCTTCCTCAGATCCACAAATGTACTGTGGCATAAATGAGATATAAACTTCTATATCAATACTTGCAATTTGGGCATTGTTTATTACATCAGTTAGCCTACCCTAATATAAGTGGTGTCACCAAGAGCCAAAAGCAGCCACTCTATCCTGTCTCCAACCCCCACACCAGCTCCCAGGTGCCTCCGCCCACCTGGTTGGACCCTAGTCAAAGTCTTCATTTTGCTTGTATGAAGGCTGTTGGCTTGTTGGACTGGAGGCAGAGTAGATGGCTTGGTTTCCTGCTTGGACTGCTGCCATGGAACATAATCCTACAAAATATACAATCAGTCACATAGCACCATGAGTTTATATCCCAGCTCTACCCTTTTCAGATATCTGTGACCCCAAGCAAGTGACTTGACCTCTCCTGAGCCTCAATCTTCTCATCTGTAAAGTGGATCTAATAATAAAACCTACTTCTGTGGATTGGCGCAAGAATTCTGAGAGATATTTATGAAGCATGTGGTAAGTGCTCCATAAATGTTAGCTATCACTTTTTTAAATCAGCCAGCCAGAATTTACTAAGCACATCCAGGCTGTGAGGTGCTAAGAACTGTGAGAAACAGAAGGCATGGAAAAGACGCAGACATCCACCCTCAGGAAACCAGAGCAGCAATCAGATGAATAAGAGAGCAGCATAATATACCCTTACATTCTGATAAGACAGTGAGAGGAGAAAAATGAGGTTCTGAGGCTTGCTCTGGGTCCCACAGCAAAGTGTGACCCGGCTGGGACTGGAATTCGGGTCTCCAGCCTATATCCGCGGAGCAGTCACGACCGTGAGAGTGGAGAGCAGGTGGACTGCAGGGCCAGCGAGCCTCCCACCCCAGCCCTAGTCCCCCAAGACTCACCGGAACCTGGAACTCCTGGACTATGGAGTGAGTCCCAGAGTGCTTGGGTCTGGAAAGAGTTGGGAAGGGAAAGAACTTCCATTATCCCCAGCCCAAGGGGCAGCAAGCAGCAATTCGAAACAGGATTGGAGTCTCGAACCAGAAACTGCAGTTTACCGGGGACAATAGCCCCGCGGGAGTGGGGCGGGGCCAAGGAGATGTGGGCGGGGAGAGGACGGGGGTCAGAAGACCGAGGGCGACCTCGAGGCGAGGGCGGGACAGCGGCGGGGTGTGAAGTACGCATGCGTATTCCGCCTTTCTTCCAATTTTTTTTTTTTTTTTTTTTTACCTACTTTTGTAAGACATGCGCCATTGGGGAAAATGGAAGAGAAGTTGCGAGTCTGTGAGACCCTGATCTTCTGGTATAACTACTCGGCTTTTCCAACTTCCTTGTCTCAGTGTAGATCGCGCGGTAACCCAGGCCACTCAGAAGTCCCGAGACCCGATGCTTTCGCCAGCGTCTCGGTCTCCAAGGAAACGCGACGCCGCCTACCGAGCGCCTAAAGGGACTAACCTCTCAAGGCAAAATCTAGTTCGGCCCGCTTTTCAATTTTCAAATTCCCTTCAGTTTGCTCTGCCCATAATCCTAAAATATGATATCATATTTCTCCACTCTCATCAAACTTCCACCATTTCCTTCGCCATCTTCACTCTTGGCTAATGAGTTTGCTTCCAATTTTACTAAGAAAATTGTGGGAATCAGTAAACCCACAAGTTCATGGCATCATTTACTCGCCTACTTGCCTCCCTCCCGTAACTACGTATAAACTGCCTACTAAGACCAATTCCTACATTTATGCACCGAATCCTATCCTCTCACGTTTTCTCAAAGATATTGGCCGAGCAGTTCTCCCCGTTTTTTCCTCCTCTTTTCTCTCTCCTTTGTATCATCAGTATACCAACGTATTTTTAAATTTCTTCTATTTAAAAAGATTGTCCACAGCCGGACACGGTGGCTCATGCATATAAGCATGAGAGCACTTTGGGAGGCCAGAGGTGGGAAGATCGCTTGAGCCAGAAAGGTCCAGTCTGCAGTGAGCCACGATCCAGCCACTGCATTCCAGCCTGGTTGACAGAGCAAGACCCTATCTCTAAATAAATAAACAAACCACTTCCCCTCCAGCCAGCTCCCATTTCTGCTTCATTTTAAAGCAAAACTCCTAGAGAGGTTTGCCTACTCTGTTTCCCATTTTTTTCCCTCCTCTCAATCAGGCTTTCACTCCCCACTGAAACTGCCCTCGTCAACATCATTGGTGACCTCCACTTTGCTAAACCCCATGGTCACTTCTAGGTCCTCCCTTTATTTGGCCTGTCTGCAGCATTTGACACAACAGATCACTCCCTCCCCTGAAACACTTTCTTAACTTAGTATCCAGGAAACCACTCTTGAGTTGCTTCCTGCCTCCTTTTCAGTCTCCTTTGCTGGTTCCTCCTCTTCTCCCTTTATCATTGTAGTATCCCAGGACTCAGTCCCAGCCCCCTCCCTTCCAGTCTCATGGTTTTGAATACCATCCGTACCCAGATGCCTCTCAGACTCACGTCTCCATCCTCCCCCTGAATTCCAGCCATGTACATCCAACTGCCTGCTTGGGCCCCTTATAAGCAACTCTAATGTGCAATATTTTTCCAGAAACATTTTTCCCGAACTTAAAATAGGGCATCTCTCTTCTTGGAATCATCCTTAACTCATCTCTTATCCCACATCCATCAGCAGATCCTGTTGCAATAACTTCAACGTATATCTGGAATAGGACCACACATACACACACACACACCCCTCTTTCCTTTTGTACCCCAACTAAAGTACTAGTTCCCACCCTTGCCCTACACCAATTCTCTCTCTACACACCAGATTTGCTAGATAGAGCACGGATTTAAAAGAGAATTCCAGTTTAAAAGATAATTGGGCGGGAGCAATAATTTTAAATCACTTAAACTTCAATAGGGGAACATTGCTATAGAATACCATGTCAGAGCTCCCAACCTTTTCTGCCTCTTAAAAATCACAGGAGAATGTGTTTAAATGCACTGTGGTAAATAGAAGCAGCTGCTAGGATAAAAAGCAATTAGCCCAGGTACTCTGGCTATTCAGGCCCCTCCTGGCTGACCCTAGAGCTGAGGGAATCACTGTGTTGGGTACCCTCATTTGCAGAGCACACCATATGACAGCACTCTTGCTGGGCAACTCTGTACCAGGAAACCATTAAAAAGTAAAAGATAAAGGCCGGGCACGGTGGCTCACGCCTGTAATCTCAGCACTTTGGGAGGCCGAGGCAGATGGATCACCTGAGGTCAGAAGTTCGAGACCAGCCTGGCCAACATGATGAAACCCCATCTCTACTAAAAATACAAAATAGGATTAGCCAGGCGTGGTGGCGGGTGCCTGTAATCCCAGCTACTTGGGAGGCTGAGGCAGGAGAATTACTTGAAGCAGGGAGGCTGATGTTGCAGTGAGCCAAGATCACGCCACTGCACTCCAACCTGGACAACAATAATGAAACTCCATCTCAAAAAAAAAAAAAAGTAAAAGATAGGAATACATGACAGATCCAGGTAGTGACTTACTCAACAGCCATTCCTCCCCATCATCGCAACTATTGGATCCTGATCTTGTCCATGTATGCACTTGCCTTAATGGAGGCAGGCCCCAGGTCCAGCCCTAGTCCTAGTCCCAGCTCCAATAGTCATGACTGTCTGAGGCTGGACTTGGTGAGCCAATTTCCCTTTCCAGTTAGAGGTCTAGTCATAGATACATGATGAAAGTCTGGCTAAGAAGACAGGATGAGAAATCTACTCAAAGGCTTTTGGGAAAGGTTTTCATCACACTTTTAAAAAAAGGCATTGCAGAAAAACATTCCTTCATCTGCTGGTAGACATTGTCATATCTGTGTGGGATTCCTGGAATCGCGGAACTGTGAGGGGAGTTGGCCAAAGAGGATATACAGTGAATGGTAGAGAGGAAAATGTAAAAACCTTCTTCCTTGATAGCACTGTTGAGCCATTAAATTAACCAACCCTAGCCTGGCACAATAGTATGTGCCTGTAATACCAGCTACTTGGGAAGCTGACGCAGGAGCATCGCTTGAGGCCAGGCATTTGAGATCAGTCTGGGCAACATAGTGAGACCACATCTCAGAAAAAAAAAATTTTGTTTTAATTAGCCAGATGTGATGATGTGCACCTGTAGTCTCAGCTACTTGGGAGGCTGTGGTGGGAGGATTGCTTGAGCCCATGAGTTTGAGACTGCAGTGAGCTATGATTGTGCCACTGCACGCCAGTCTGGGCAACAGAGTAAGATTCTGTCTCTAAAAGAAATTAATTAATTAAATTAACCTTTCACCTATCTAGAAAATACTTGAGATTAAATAAGAAATCACATTACTGGGTGAGCAAATTTGAGTTGAGTTTTCTGGTACTTGCAGACCAAAAGCATTTTACTGAACCCTACGTCTGGAGGAACAACAAGATAGAAGGAACCTGGGTGGGTCCCTGACAACCTTGCAGGAGAAAGTCACCTACCTGTCCTTACTGCCTGCCAAATTCCGAGCTGCTTCATCAAAGAGAAATAAACCTCCACCTTGTCTGAGACCCTGTATTTGAGAGTCCCTTTGTTACAGTAGCTTAACCTGTACCTTGATTAATACAAAGAAGAGCTTGGCCACTGTCAGACAGCCTTCCTCATCAGACATGCTGACCCAGCATGGACACCCACTGAGAGCTGCCTGTGCCCCACATCTCAGGTACTTAACCAGTAATATTACTGCCTCCCACTTCAATTTTTTTTTGTTTTTGAGACAGAGTTTCGCTCTTGTTGCCCAGACTGGAGTGCAATGGCATGATCTTGGCTCACCACAACCTCTGCCTCCCGGGTTCAAGTGATTCTCCTGCCTCAGCCTCTCGAGTAGCTGGGACTACAGGCATGCGCCACCACAACCGGCTAATTTTGTATTTTTAGTTGAGACGGGGTTTCTCTATGTTGCTCAAGCTGGTCTCGAACTCCTAACTTCAGGTGACCCGCCCGCCTTGGCCTCCCAAAGTGCTGGGATTACAGGTGTGAGCCACCGCACCTGGCCCCACTTCAAATTTTTAAAAAAAATACATAAAAACATTTGCAAAAATGCTGCCATCTTAATCAAAGCCAAAACACACTTGAGGGGCCACTGACAATCACCTGTAACAAAGCTGTTGGAACTGGGATTGAATCAGATGGGGTCCATTTGCACTTACACCTGTTCAGGTGGCATTTCTGTGTTCACGAACACCTGATGGAACTTCCTGCCCCCAGGATAGGTGGGCAAGATGAGCTGGCCTTTCCTCCCTGCACATGTGAGGTGATAAATGTGATAGAGGGCCTCTCAGGCCTGCTTGGCTCCAGGCTCAGCAATGGCAACCTGGGCTCTGATTCCATCAACATCTTGCTGAGAGGTGGACTAGGCTGAGCAGGCAGTCTCGGGCTTCCATCCATGTCATTTGATGTGCTGGCTTTGTGGCAAATGTGCACAGCATCCTAAACCCACAATCCCTACTGTTGTCACTGGGTAAGATGCCGTGGTTCTTGTGGAGACACCTGCTATACTCGACATAACAAGATCCTAGACATTCCTTCTTATCATCTGCACAGCCCTCCAGAGCTGCTCTCTCCATACGGCCTCAGTGCCCATCCGGACTGCTCTCCTTGCAGGGTACCTGCCTGGCCCCTGTAGCTCCTGATGTAATAATCTCTGCAAAATTTGACCTGGAAAAAATGAAACTGACCAAAAGGATGGCCCTACACATACCAATGAAATTGTACAACAGAAGAAGATATGATTAGCAAAATTGGACATGGAGCCAGAACCTAATCCACAAGTCAAATATTTTCAAAATACAGACAGATGCCTTTAAAGTCCAACACAAAACAAAAATGCTCAAAATACGTTGATTATATGAGAGTTCCTGACTAGTGCAGTAAGACAAGAAAAAGTATAAGATTTGAAAAAAGAGACAAAACCTTCATTATTCACAGACGATATGATTGGCAATACAGAAAAGTAAAGAGATTCCAAAAACCACTGGAAATTTTTTAAGGTTTCAACTTTGTTGCCAGATATGGGGTCAGTACACAAAATTCAATCGTGTTTCCTCTAACGGACACCAACAAACCATATGTAACTTCTGATTTACAATAATTTCACTTACAATAGCAGTCAAACCACGTGGTACTTTGGAATAAATCCCCAAAAGTATGTAAGACCTTTATGAAGAAAACTATAATATTTTATTGAAATTCATAAAATAAGGCCTAAATAAGTGAGAAATCAAGTGGGGTCATTGATGGAAAGACTCCGTGTTATAAAGTGGTAATTCTGTACAAATGCAGTGCAACGCCAATTAAGATCTCATAGTTTCCTGGAACTTAGTAGGCAGGTTGTGAAATTTATATGGAGGTTCCAAATATAGCTGAGACCATCTTAAAGAAGACGAAAGAGAGAGAAGAATGTTTCCCATAAAAGAAGAAACTGGAGTTCAGATTTCTCTTTGGAAACTGAAAGATCCCCCCACAGTGGACCCTCACTTCTGGAGAGGAATATTCAGCTACAGTTGACTAGCAGTTGCCCCTTCAGATAGAATATTCGATCTCCAGTTCACCCAGTATATCTTCTACTTAAGGCACCTGCCTGACCCTTGCAGATATTTGATTATGTGATAGTTACCTGGAGTGAGGGCTTAAGATAAGAGGAATGGAAGAGATTGTTTAAAATACATCTATTGTTTGGTTGTGTAAGTATTCTCCTCATGGTGAAACTTGACCAGGCAAGTAGAAAGAATAACAGAGAAGTATGTGAATCTAAGACATTGATGTTTCTGGTAATGGTGAAGTTCCGAGTATGATCACGGGAATGCGTGGCTGAGAAGGGATAAAGGAAATGGTGCCTGAGGATATAAAGTGAGAGGACTGGAAAGTGCAAACGGCCCAAGTCAGTGGCTCCCCTGAGACCAATACCAGCAGTTGGGATGAAGGGAATCTGCCTGTTAACAAGGTTTCCTAGGATCTGATGCACAGTTCTTGATCCACGGCGTCAGAAATAAAGTGGTTAAATAAATATAAGCTACCGGCCGGGCGCGGTGGCTCACGCCTGTAACCCCAGCACTTTGGGAGGCCGAGGCGGGCGATCACGAGGTCAGGAGATCGAGACCATCCTGGCTAACACGGTGAAATCCCGTCTCTACTAAAAATACAAAAAATTAGCCAGGCGTGGTGGCGGGCGCCTGTAGTCCCAGCTACTCAGGAGGCCGAGGCAGGAGAATGGCGTGAACCCGGGAGGCGGAGCCTGCAGTGAGCCGAGATTGAGCCACTGCACTCCAGCCTGGGCGACAGACCAAGAGTCCGTCTCAAAAAAGAAAGAAAGAAAGAAATATAAGCTACCTATACGTGGGGCTGCCTATTAACTCCGCCAAGTGACTTAACTCCTGCCTCTTTATCTGTAAAATGGGCATAATTACAGCATTGTTTTTGGAAGATTCCATGTAATAAAGTCTGAAGTGTGCTTAACACAGTACTGGGAACTTAAGCAGCACTCACACTTCATCCTAAATACGACGAAAGTCTTTTCAAAAAAATAAAAATTAATGCAATATGACTTACTTGGAAATGTATCAAAAAATAAAGACCGATGAATGGATCGAGGCGTAGTGTGACAGAGTAAAATTTTAATGATAAAAAGTTAATGGTAAAATGTTCACTGTAAAACTTTCAACTTTTCTTCTTGAAAACGTGCATAATCCGACGTGGGAAAAAAAATAACGCATTGCAGTCAGTTCTGGGGAAACGGAAAGCTAAGTTTTAATTTTGCTATTGCTTTTGCTTTTTTAACAGAAAAGGTACAAAAAAGAAAAAATGGGAGAGATGTTGCCGAACTCCGTCCCGCCTGTGGGCTGTGGGCCGTTAGCAAAGCTGCTAGCATGAAATCGTCGAGCACCGCTTGCGAAACGCCAAATCCTCGAGAGCGAGGCCGGAGGCTGCCAAACCCGCGCTGGGGAAAGGGCCGCCTCCGGGCGCCCCATCCCGCTGCGGACGGAGGTGAGGTTGGAGCGAGCGCTGGCGGAAGAGAGGCTCAGCGCAGGGGGCGCAGAGCCGGCGCTGGCCAATATGCGCCGCATGTGATACCTTTGAGGGCGCGGCGGGGGAGGGTAGCGTCAAATTTCAAAAAAAAAAAAAAACCAAACCCACACAGCCCCGGCGGGCGGGCGCGCGCGATGGGCGCCCTTTGGCTGCGGGAGCGAGTGGAGGATGCTGGGAAGGAGGTAAAATGGCCACCGGCGGCGGCGCGGAGGAAGAGAGGAAACGGGGGCGGCCGCAGCTTCTGCCCCCCGCGCGGCCCGCGGCCCGGGGCGAGGAGGCCGACGGCGGCCGCGAGAAGATGGGCTGGGCCCAGGTGGTGAAGAATCTAGCCGAGAAGAAGGGCGAATTCCGCGAGCCGCGGCCGCCGCGGCGGGAGGAGGAAAGCGGCGGCGGTGGAGGGAGCGCCGGGCTCGGCGGCCCCGCGGGCCTGGCGGCGCCGGACCTCGGCGACTTCCCACCGGCTGGCCGCGGGGATCCGAAGGGCCGTCGGAGAGATCCGGCCGGCGAGGCGGTGGACCCCCGCAAAAAGAAGGGCGCTGCGGAGGCGGGCAGGAGGAAGAAGGCCGAGGCGGCGGCGGCCGCCATGGCGACCCCGGCCAGGCCCGGCGAGGCCGAGGACGCGGCCGAGCGGCCCCTCCAGGATGAGCCGGCGGCGGCGGCAGGCCCGGGCAAGGGTCGCTTCCTCGTCCGCATCTGTTTCCAGGGAGACGAGGGCGCCTGCCCGACCCGGGACTTCGTGGTAGGAGCGCTTATCCTGCGCTCCATCGGCATGGACCCGAGCGACATCTACGCGGTCATCCAGATCCCGGGCAGCCGCGAATTCGACGTGAGCTTCCGCTCAGCGGAGAAGCTGGCCCTGTTCCTACGCGTCTACGAGGAGAAGCGGGAGCAGGAGGACTGCTGGGAGAACTTTGTGGTGCTGGGGCGGAGCAAGTCCAGCTTGAAGACGCTCTTCATCCTCTTCCGGAACGAGACGGTGGACGTGGAGGACATTGTGACTTGGCTCAAGCGCCACTGCGACGTGCTGGCCGTGCCGGTGAAAGTGACCGACAGGTTTGGGATCTGGACCGGGGAGTACAAATGCGAGATCGAGCTGCGCCAGGGGGAGGGCGGGGTCAGGCACTTGCCAGGGGCCTTCTTCCTGGGGGCCGAGAGGGGCTACAGCTGGTACAAGGGGCAGCCCAAGACATGCTTTAAATGTGGTTCCCGGACCCACATGAGCGGCAGCTGCACGCAGGACAGGTGCTTCAGGTGCGGGGAGGAGGGGCACCTGAGCCCTTACTGCCGGAAGGGCATCGTGTGCAACCTCTGTGGCAAGCGAGGACACGCCTTTGCCCAGTGTCCCAAAGCAGTGCACAATTCCGTGGCAGCTCAGCTAACCGGCGTGGCCGGGCACTAAACACCCGCCTGCCTGCCAGGGTGAACACACAGCCAGCTTATCCCTCTTAAGTGCCAAAACTTTTTTTTAAACCATTTTTTATCGTTTTTGAAGGAGATCTTTTTAAAACCTACAAGAGACATCTCTCTATGCCTTCTTAAACCGAGTTTACTCCATTTCAGCCTGTTCTGAATTGGTGACTCTGTCACCAATAACGACTGCGGAGAACTGTAGCGTGCAGATGTGTTGCCCCTCCCTTTTAAAATTTTATTTTCGTTTTTCTATTGGGTATTTGTTTTGTTTCTTGTACTTTTTCTCTCTCTCCTTGCCCCCCTCCCGCCCTCCCCGCCCCATACCTTTTCTTCCCCTGGATTTTCACCCTTTGGGCTGCCTTGCTCATCTTTATGCCCCAGCACTAGGTACGGGGCCCAACACGTGGTAGGCACTCCATCAGTGTTTGCTGAATTGAAAACATTGTTGACTGTGGCTTCTATCAGAGTGTCTACCTTTTGCAGCTCTTCCCCTCCCTCATTTAATTTGCTGCTTTTAATCTACGTGGTCTGAGAATTTGTGAAACCAGTGTTGTTAGAAGTGTATATAATCTGAATCAATAAGCTCTGAATGGTGGCCAAGGGCCTCTCTTATGGCACAAAGATGCATGGACTTCATGACAGCTCTTTTGGTGGCTCAGAAGCCATTTTTTATAGAATCATGGAATCTAGAATATTCCTGCTGGAAAGAACCTGAGAGTTGGTTTGGACCAATTCCCTGGTTTTCCAGCAGATGAAACAGGCCCAAAGAGGTTAAATGACTGGGTGAAAATCACATAGCTGTCTGGTGCCAGAGCCAGCCTATAGTAGAGTCCCCTGACCCCAAGCCCGGTGCTCATTCCACTACCTCTCACACTTCACAACAATTTCCTCAACACTTGAGGGCCCAGAAAGTCTGATCTCTCCAGAATGATCAGCCCAGAGGAATGCTGAGAAATCACCTGGAGGAGGGAGCAGAAAGAGAAGGTTTTTAAGGAGGGGCTTCTGAATACTTGGGAGATACGGAACGGACCAAGGACCACACTCCAGGGTGCATTCGTTGCTCCCTGGGGCACCACTTCTGGATTACAGTGTGCCAGGTCCTTTGGAGGCCCTACCCCTTCCCCATTCATTGCCACCAGTGAGAAATGGGGGTGCCCCTGTGTAAAGAAACCTACCAAAGGTTTACATTTGCACCTTAGCCTCAATAGCTACGAACCCTAGAGAAGCAGCTAGCTGGAGCTCATGTGCAACTCCTGATTCTCAGGAGAAAGATGGATTTTAACCCAAAATTATGAGTGAGCTGTTAACTCTAAAATGTACTTGGGAGATAGGCCAAGCGAGAGGTCATGGGCCAACTAAGTGTTATCCAGTAGAAAAGACAGTACACTGCTTTTCTTTTAGTGTTTGCTTTTCCTTTGCTATATGTTTTGCTATTTCCTTGTGGCTTAGAATGTAAAATTGATTGTTAAAAGTTTTGTTCTGAATAAATATTTATCTTTTGTATTGCTAAAACTGGTGCACTATTTCCTTTCAAAGTGTTAGATGCACAGTTACCCAGCTCCAGACCGTATTTCAATCCCACTTCCCCTACACTCCATTTGTTTACCTTGCTAAATACATTTCCCACCCCTGCAGGCAACACTTAGCACCTACTACGTTGTGCCGGTCCCTTTGCATCACAATCAGCACACTGTTAAAACGGGTTTTAAGTCCTAACACAGTTCCAATAAATCAGAATCACTGTTAGAGGAAGTGAAACATTTTAGTTAATCATCCTCAAGCAATTCTGATGGGCAGCCAGGTTTGAGACCAGAGTATAAGATGTGTGAGCTGAACCCTGCCCTCAGGGAGATTACAGACCTGTGGGAAAGAGAGGTGGTTTGCCAGCTTCCTCGTCTTTCTGTTACTGTAAGCGCGCGCTGTGGATGGGATGCAAAATATTCTTGGGTTCTGGGAAAATGCCATTTCTTCCAGCTGTTGAAAAAGCGGGATCCAGGGAGCTGACTTCTCCAAGTTAGCCCCCACTGGAGACTGGGCCTGCAGGCAGAATAGGGTCAAGGTCCCTGGACTTCAGGTCCAATACCCTGCAGACCCCAGATACAACTCTCTGAAGGATTTTCCAGCTGGTGATGCTAGGATGATCTGATCCTGAGAGTTAAACGTTCCCAGTATATTGACTCTGACTCAGTGATTTGAGGATATTTCCAGAGCTGATCTGGAGTTGGGACCTGGTAGGCTCTTGGGAATCCTGTCTTTCAGAGCCAGTTCAACCCCTCTCCTTGTCTCCCAAAGCAAGCAGACTCTCCCCTCCCTCCCATCCCTCTTTCCCGTCTTTGCCAGCGGTTTCCCTCCCTCTCACAGAGCTGGAGGCCAGGGGCCAGGAGAAAGCCTGCATTCACCATACTCTCCACTCCGTTCCTCAAAGCAGGCACTGTGCCAGGGAGCCTCCTTGAAGGAACCTTCCCTCTCCTGGCCCCATCCCCCCACTCTCCAGGAGGGAGGAGAGGAAGAAACTGTTTCCCTGCCCATCCCCCACAGGATCTGCTTCAAGGCCTCCTGCCTGGTGGCCCAGGGACAGCCAGGGGCTGGAGCTGAACAAACCTCCCCCAGCTTCCTTTCCTGATCAAGCAGCCCTCAAATTACAATTCTTCACTGTTTTTGGGCTCCTGGAAAGTGTGCAGAGATGCCCGGACTGAGGCTGGTTGACTAGGGGACATTGATTCATTCCACTTCAACAAATACGGAGGGCATTAGAGCTGGGCCCCATGCAAGGCCCTCTGCATAGGCTGCCTTGAACAAGACAGTGCACTTGCAATGGAAGGTACAGATAAGTAACAGTAGGCAATGTTTACAATCATATATTTAACAATTTTTTTTTGAGACAGAGTCTCACTCTGTTGCCCAGGCTGGAGTGCAGTGGCATGATCTTGGCTCACTGCAACCTCCACCTCCCGGATTCAAGCGATTCATGTGCCTGAGCCTTCCAAGTAGCTGGGATTACAGGCACGTGCCACCACGCCCGGCTAATTTTTGTATTTTTAGTGGAGATGGGGTTTCAGCATGTTGGCCAGGCTGGTCTCGAACTCCTGACCTCAGGTGATCCACCTGCCTCAGCCTCTGAAAGTGCTGGGATTACAGGCGTGAGACACCGCACCCAGCCAACATTTGTCCTGTATAGAATTGTCTGAAGTAAAGGTTTCCCTAGAAGAGAAAACGTCCTGACTGAAACCTGCAAGATGAGTAAGAACCAGGCTAAGAGTGAAGAGACAGCCAAGCAGCAGAAATAGCAGATGTAGAGGCCTGGAGGCCAGAGAGCACACAGCGTGTTCGGACTGGCCAAGAGTCAGGGGAAGATGTGGCTGGGAGAAAACGCCGAGAAGAGGTGTCACAGGGCTTACCAGCCATATTTAAAAACGTGGATTTTGTCCTCAGAGCCTCCAATCAGGCCTCCTCCATTCCATTCATTCTTTCAACACATGCCTGTTAAGCGCCAACTCTATAGGGGCCTTTTCTAAGCGATGGAACACAGCATGGAGCAGGATAATCAAGTCCCTGAAGCTCAGATTCTAGAGTCACACAAGTACATAATTACAGACGATGATGCACTAAAAGAAACATACAGGGTGAGATCCCTGTTTAACAAGCAAAGCTGATCCAGTCTTAAGGATCAGAGAAAATGTTTGAACTGAGATGGAAAAGACATAAAAGGAGTTAATCGAGAGATGGGGCTGGGGATTAAGGGATGGCAAGGGTATTAACCTAGGCAAGAGGGATAGCAAGTAAAACAACCCTATAGTGGGAGGAGGCATGACCACTTCTAGAGACTAAATGAATCAGTCTAAGTTTAGAAACAGAAACCACTCTTGCTGTTGAAGAAAATGCTGGTCCCTGGGCTGGGTATTAGGAATGACTCCTAGAACACCATAGAACTGCCAGGGGAGTTACTACCTCTCACAGTCAGAAAGACAGAAGCCAGGAGGCCACCACTGGAAAGGCTGAGCATGAGGACACAATGGTGAAGCTGCCACCCAAAGACAGGATCCTGGGATCAGAAAGTCACTGCCAATGCCACTGGCAGGACAGTGAAATGCCAAGTCCTTTCCCTGCCTCTACAAAGCCAGGGACTGTGCACTACTGTCTCCGCAACCATTTACAGGTAAAAACAGCCCAAACTGTCTGGCTTACTTATGCCTCCCTTCCATCTTTTATGCAAATACATCTAAGTGCTAGAGCCCTAGCTGCAAGGGAGTTGGGAGATGTTTTAGCTTTCCAGCATCCGCAACATAGGAAGGCACATAGAATGGGGATGGGTGCTGTCTGTCAAAAGACAATATCCAGCACAAAAAATGTGACTGCAGTGCAGAGAAGAGGAGCTCGTGGGAGCATCTGGTAGGCCATGTTAAGAATGTGGGTCTAAGAACGATGTGCCATTGAAGGACTTGCAAGCAAGAGAGTAACATGATTAGATTGGTTATGTTTTACAAGCATCATTCAGGATAGTTGGTGGAGACTGGGTCAGAGGAGAGCCCAAGGGGAAATACAGTATAGTTCACCCAGGTCTCTCGAGAGATGAGGACATCTTAGGCATGGAAGGCGGAGATGTACAGAGAGAAACAGCCGAGTAAAGAAATCTTTCAGAGTTTAAGTCAACAAGATTTGGAGCTATATTTGACATGGGCTGGGAGAAAGTTAAGTACCAAGGATGTTGCCCAGGTTTCTAGCTTCTGCAGTTGGATGGATGGTGGGGCTTTTCCCTGAGATGCGAAACAGAAGAGAAAATCCAAGTTTAGGGTGAAGGGCTTGAATTTGATTTTGGATATATTGAGTTTAAGGTCTCCGTAGAGGATATCTAAGAGGAGATGTGGAGTAGGCGGTTGGATACACACAGATCTTACATTCCTAGGAGAATTCTGGCCCTGAGAAATAAACACAGGAGTTGTACAGCTGTGGCTTTCAAACTGTTTTACCACATCCCACAGTAAGATATATATTTTACATTGCAGCCATCATACATATGCATGTGTGTATTTATATCTAAATCTGAAATAAGCTTCCTCAAACAATATTTGCCCTGTGCATGATGCACCTTGACACTTTCTATTCCATTGCTTCATCCTTTTGTCAATGCTTATATGACGTGTTAAACTGATTTCACACTCTCCTAATGGTCAAGAGAGAAAGCAGAAGGAAAGATTATACCAACTAAGATTGTGCCTCAAGCAACTTTGACACAGTTTTCCCTGATGGAAAAGGAGATGGTGAAAAACTAATAAGGGACAGCCAGAAAGGGAGAAGGAAAACCAGAACGTGCAGAAACACATAAACCAAGGGAGGACATTTCAGGTGGTAGGGGTTAACAATTGTGTCAAGGGCTGCAAGAAATCAAGTAAAATCAGCTCTAAGAAATGTCAATTGAGGCCGGGCGCGGTGGCTCATGCCTGAAATCCCAGCACTTTGGGAGGCCGAGGCGGGCGGATCATGAGGTCAGGAGATTGAGACCATCCTGGCTAACACAGTGAAACCCCGTCTCTACTAAAAATACAAAAAATTAGTTGGGCGTGGTGGCGGGCGCCTGTAATCCCAGCTACTCGGGAGGCTGAGGCAGGAGAATGGCGTGAACCCAGGAGGCGGAGCTTGCAGTGAGCTGAGATTGAGCCACTGCACTCCAGCCTGGGCGACAGAGCGAGACGCCGTCAAAAAAAAAAAAAAAATGTCAATTGAGATCAGAACTGAAGAGTGCCCTAGGATTGAGTAGTGTGGAGGTTATCAATAAGGGCCTTTTAGAGGAAAGTGATGGGGGCAGATTAAGGAGCAAATGATCTTTCTAAGATGTCAATCTGGCACGCTGACCATTTTATTCCCATGTCACGTCCTCTGGGACTCCCTTGTGCACTTGGAACCCAGCCTGGTACCCGATCCCTTTCACAAGAGGCTCCTGGACTCCTTTCCAACCTTACTCTCAGCCAGATTGCCCATTACATCCCTTTATGTCAACTCCAGTTACGGCTGACAAACAGCAACCAGAAAGAATTTTGGAGTATGGAGTGGTACAAGACCAAGCTAAGGGGCCAGGTGCAATGGTTCATGCCTGTAATCCTAGCACTTTGGGAGGCCTAGGCAAGTGGATCGCTTGAGGTCAGGAGTTCGAGACCAGCCTGGCCAACATGGTGAAATCCTGTCTCTACTAAAAATACAAAAAAAAATAGCCATGTATGGTGGCATGCACCTGTAGTCCCAGCTACTCAGGAGGCTGAGGCAGGAGAACTGCTTGAACCTGGTGATACAGGAAGGGAAGTGCTGGGAAGGGAAGGGCACAGTCCCTTTAAATGACATGGAAGGGAGAAAGGGCGTGGTCCCTGGCTAGGGCTCCACCCCAGCCTGTGCCCATGGACCTAGGTGAGGACAGGCATTTTTGTTTTCCTGCCCAAATGTTGCATTTCCCAAGACCACCCTGGCCGGCCACGCCCCCATCCTGTGCCTATAAAAACCCTAGCAGGCAGACACACAGGTAACTGGACGGCTAGAGGAGCACATCAGTGGAGGAACACACAAGCGGCTGGACGTCGAGAGGAACGCACCGACAGGCACTGACAAACCAGCACACCACAGGCCATCGACCAACAGAACTATGCAGAGTTTGGCTGGGGCAGTCGGAGGGGAGCCTGGGCCACTGAACAGTCCAACTCCAGGGGAAAACCTTCTCACTCCATCCCCTTCTGGCTTCCTCCATCTGCTGAGAGATACCTCCACTCAATAAAACCTTGCACTAATTCTTCAAGCCCAGGTGTGATCCAATTCTTCTGGTACACCAAGGCAAGAACCCAGGATACAGAAAGCCCTCTGTCCTTGCAACAAGGTAGAGTGTCTAATTGAGCTGGTTAACACAAGCCACCTATAGATGGCAAAACTAAGAGCATACGGTAGCATAAGCCCATTGGGGCTTCAGGAGCTGTAAACATCCACCACTAGACACTCGTGGGGTCGGAGCCCCACAACCTGCCCATCTGTATGCTCCCCTAGAGGTTTGAGCAGCGGGACACTGAAGAAGTGAGCCACTCCCCTTGTCACACGCCCTGGGACGGGGACAAGGGAACTTTTCCCGTTTCAGTGGGAGGCAGAGGTTGCAGTGAGCCGAGATTGTGCCACACTGCACTCTAGCCTGGGCAACAGAGCGAGACTCCATCTCTAAATAAATAAATAAAAGGACCAAGCTAAGGGTGAGGAGACGTCAGATCATGCTGAGTTGAGGGTGGGGGCGCCACAGGAGTGCACCAAACGTGTACAAAGGCACTGATACATACAGCCCCATTTGCTGGCTTGTCAATGTGACTAAGATTTGGGGTAGGACATAGTAAAAGAAAATAAACACAGATATATTATGGAAAAGAATGTAAACTTTGCAGAGTTTTAAATAAAATATGACTTTTTTTTTTTTTGAGGCAGGGTCTCACTTTGTTAACCAGGCTGGAGTGCAGTGGCTCACTGCGTGGCTCGCTACAGCCTACAACTCCTGGGCTCAAGCAATACTTCTGCCCCAGCCTCCTGTGTAACTGAGACTACAGGCACACACCACCACACCCAGCTAATTTTTTCTTTCTTTCTTTTTTTTTTTTTTTTTTTTTTTGAGACGGAGTCTCACTCTGTTGCCCAGGCTGGAGTGCAGTGGCACAATCTCGGCTCACTGCAACCTCTGCCTCCCGGGTTCACTGTGGATATATCCCCTCCCGGGATATATCCATCACTGTGCCTGGCACAGCTGCAGCCTCCCAAGTAGCTGGGACTACAGGCACCCGCCACCACGCCCGGCTAATTTTTTGTATTTTTAGTAGAGATGGGGTTTCACCGCATTAGCCAGGATGGTCTCAATCTCCTGACCTCGTGATCCGCCTGCCTCGGCCTCCCAAAGTGCTGGGATTACAGGCGTGAGCCACCACTCCCAGCCTCTCTCTTTCTTTCTCCTCTTTCTTCTCTTTCTTTCTTTTCTTTTTCTTTTCTTTTCTTTCTTCCTTCCTTCCTCCTTTCCTTCCTTTCCTTCCCTTTCTCTCTCTCCTTCCTTCTTTCCTTCCTTCCTTCCTTCTTCTTTCTTTCTCTTTCTTTTCTTTCTTCAGGGTCTCAATATGTTGGCCAGGCTGGTCTTGAACTCCTGCCCTCAAGTGATCCTTCCACCTTGGCTTCTCAGAGTGGTAGGATTACAGGTGTAAGCCACCACACCCAGCCCAAGAAAGATTTTATTTTATTTTTTTATACAGACAGGGTCTTGCTATGTTGCCCAGGCTAGACTCAAACTCCTGGACAACATAGCAATCTTCCTGCCTCAGCCTCCCTAGTAGCCAGGTGTGCACGGAACAAATTATATGTATTAATATGGAACAATCTCTAAGACACATTATTAAATGAAAAAAAGCAAGATATGGTATCCTACAGTTTACATTTTTTAATGTTGGAATAAATACATACATACCCTCAGCACCATAGGAAAGATTTTAAAAAAGAAAAAATATATATACATATGCTTATTTTTGTACAAATATGTAACACTGGAAGGATATTAATGAAATTCGTAATTTGTAACTTTGGAGAACTGGATATTTGGGGTTTGGGATAAAAGGAAAGTTTATTTTCCACTGTGTATCCCTGCTTTTAAAAAAATATTTCATCTATTATCTCTAACAACAACAAAAACAACTTTTAACAACAAAAATAAATGCAAAACACAAGACTTCAACGAAATTCCTATAGACTTTAGAGAGACAGGAGTCCATCTCCTCTATCTTTAAAAGTAAAGGCCGGGCTTAGTGGCTCATGCCTGTAATTCCAACACTTTGGGAAGCCAAGGCAGGAGGACTGCTTGAGCCCAGGAGTTTGAGGCCAGCTGAGGCAACACAGGGATATCCTGTCTCTACAAAAAAAAAACAAATCGTTGGGTGTGGTGGTACATGCCTGTGGTCCCAGCTACTTGGGAGGCTGAAACAGGAGGATCACTTGAGGTTGAGGCTGCAGTGAGCCGTGATGGCACCACTGCACTCCAGCCTGGGCCGCAGAGTGAGACCCTGTCTCTAAAAATAAAATAAAATAAAATAAAAATAAAAAATAAGAACTTTGATGGAAGAGTTTAAGAAATTCTATAGCAGACAACACATTGGTCTCCCTGCTTCCAGGCTCCCTCTCCTTCCAACCATGGAATCCACCCCAAAACAAAACTTGATCACATTTCTCCCCCGCTTAAAGAACTTCAAAGATTTTGCGTCCTCCCTGGTGTTCACCAGGGCCTGCCTGACCAGCCCTGCCTCCTCTGGGCCTCCTCTCTTGTCGGGCCTCCCCCTCTTACCCTGGCTTGGCTTCCCCTTCTGCTCCAGCTGGTCATTCCTGGAAGCAGATCTCTTCCTCCCCTACCCATGGTTAATCCTTACCTGCCTGGGGCACTCAGCTCTAATGCTGCTTCCTAACTAGAGCCTACCCTAACATCCTGTATCAGACCCTCTTACACCGTCCGTTACCTCCCTGGCCTCTCCTTCAGCAGTTACTCGGGTGCAATGATATACTTATTTGTGCCATGGTTTGATTGATATCTGCCTCTGCCTCTCCACTTTGAGCTCCCTGAGGGCAGGAACCAGTCTCTTTTGGCTCACGGTTATAGCTTGAGCAATTAGCACTATGCCTGGCACAGAGTAAAGCCTAATAAATATTTATTGCATGCATGATCTAGAATCACTTGGCTGAGGTTACAGATTAAGACACGTGTCTACTTGTCCTTCTTTAATATACTTAACATACCTTAGCACTCTGTCATTGACACATACTGAACAAGGGCTTATTCATTCATCTTTTAAAAGCTAACTCACTCTTTTAGTTTTCCCACCTTTGATAAGGGAGGATAGGACCTGGGAGGTCAGGCCCTCGGTTTACTAGCTCATCCTCCTCTATTTCTCTGAGAGCATAAAATCACTGGAAGTCAGCCAGCATGCCCCATGGCACTGTGAGGCACAGGGGAGAAGCACCAGGCTCCTGGATTCTGAATGCGTGGCTTTGAAGCCTGGCAAGAGTGGCCCCTTCCCTGAGTCCCCCACCACCCCTCCCCTTGGGGCGAGGATTCTGCAGGCATGAGAAGTGCCCACCCAGAGTCTGTGCCTATGCCTTCTAGAACACGCTCTGATACCCGATAATTCCCTTCCAAAATGTCACTAAGTTAATTCACAGGGCTCTTTGTGGGCCTCATCCCTGGCTTCATCTCACCTGAGGGCAAACTATACTGCCTGATGCACATCTTATAGACCTGAGCCTTGGGCCTCAAGATAGCTGTTTGCAGGTGACAGCTAGGTGTTGACCCATGCATGCTAGCTCCATCACTGATGGGATGAGAGGTAGCTGGATAAGGGATGGATACAGGTTCCAGGGGACAGGTCTCCTTGGGCCTACACATTCTGGCACATAACTCCAAGGGTCTTAGAATTCTAATTTGAACATGGCCTTCCAGGTTGTTAGAGGATATATCCATCAAGGAAGAAAACAGAACATATTTCATTTAACACTTGCTGGACTGTTGTATAATTTCTAACTATAGAGACATATGGTATATGGGCCTCCAACTCTACTCTTGTTCTGAGCCCCACAAATGCCCATTTGGTTCTGTCATTTCTTTGCATAGACAAGCTACATAACCTCTCTGAACTTCAGTTTCCTGAGCAGGAAAATGGGTCTATGGTAATAACTACATTATCAGGGCTGGTGAGAAAATGAAATAAAATAATCCATGTCAAGGGCTTGAGAAGAATGCCCTCTGGCTGTCGTCTCCTATGACTTCCTGTATGATCTCCAAACTGCTCTCTTTGCAGGGTTTCAACACGGCTGCTCCCTCCTGCCTCCTTACCCACAGCCAATAACCTCCCCATTCTCTCCACCTAGTCAAATCCCACCGTCTTCAATTGTGATAATAGCTGGTTGATTGCACGTTTACTACGTTTCAGGCATTGTATTAAGAACTTTCCATGCATTAACTCAGTTCTGACACCAACTCGATGAAGCAGGCACTGTTTATTATTCCCCAAACACAAAGACACAGGGATCTGGAGACTGGAAGCACTGGCGGCTGCAAGTGGCAGGGCTGGCGGGGTGTGAAGCCGGAGAGGAGTCTTTCTGCAGTCAGGCCTCCCAAATCCCGGGATGGAATCAAGGAGCCTTTGGCTGTCCCACCCCTCCTCCTCCAAGCCCCCAAATCCAAGTCTGTTATATCCCGTCAGCTCTGCGGGCCTGCCTGTGACTTTCAGCCCAAGGGGGCGGGCACTTCGTGTCACGCCACGTTGTCCACATCATCGACCCTCCCTCCCCTTCTCCCCTTCCTTCCTTCCCTCCCTCTCTTCCTCCCATTGAGTGCCAGTTCTGTGCCAAGCTTTGCTGTTCAAAATGTTACGAGTGGAGAAGTCAGGGAAGGATGGAATTATAGGTGTTTCTTCTTCATACCTTTCTGTTTGGCTGATTTTTTTTCAAATGAGCACGCAGGCCCGGTTCCTCAAACCCACTTCCAATGTGGCATTGCTGGGTTGGTTTGGTCCAAGGAAAGCCCTGTCTCCTTAACTCCCAGCCCCCACGCCTCCTCCGCCGGCCCCCAAATCCAGGCCGCCCTGCCCCCTCCGGAAAGGGGAGTTGGGGGCGAGCGCCGAAATCTGAGTGGCTCTTTCAAGCCTCCGTTGCCATAGAAACCGGCCGCACAGGCCGATGCTGTCCATTACACCATCCTCTAGCCTCGCAGCCAATGGACTCCGAGCTCCATCGCCAGAGGCCCCGCCCCCCAGCTCTGGGGAGTCCACCAATCAGCAGGTCCCGTGACTTAGAGCCCTGCCCTCGGCCCAGGGACACCACCAATGCGCTTCGACCCTGCCCTCCTTCTCTTCGGTGTAACAAGAAGACTCGATATTTTTTTTTTTTTTTTTAGGAATTCTCCAGATCAGAAGGAATTGGCAGTAAGGCCTCTGTCAGCTGCACCCTGAATAATCTTTGGCTGCTATTTTATTTAAGGAGAGCAAAACTGTTTCAATTACGCAACAATATATACCATTCTCTACTAAAACAATTTTAGGAAATGAAAATGTAGGCAATGGGATGATATAGTCTGCTCTATATGAATGTCTTTCATTATAGGTATTTTAATTTAACTTAAAATGATCAAGGAACTAGTCATCTTTCCTTTGTATTTCAAATGCATACAAAATTAAAGATACCGAGTTTTTTGATGCAGAGTTCATGAGACATTGACTTAATTAGTTGGTAGGCAACTTTTACTGAACCATCTAATTCCTGGTTCAGAACATTACAACTGGAGGATAAATGAATATTTCTCTTAATCCATGGAAGAAATTCTGTTTTTGAGGCGGGCTGCGTAAATGGCTCTGACACTCTGGAGTCTAAATAAACCAAATGTGTTTTTAAAACCCGTTTGCCATTACAAAAAAAAAACTTCAATTTTTTAGAACACTTTTAGATTTACAGAAAAATTGTGAATATAAAGTTCCCGTCTACCCCAGCCACCCACCCTGTTTCTTTCATTATTATTATTATTATTGAGACAGGGTCCCGCTCTTTCACCCAGGCTGGAGTGCAGTGGCGCGATCTCGGCTCACTGCAACCTCCGCCTCCCAGGCTCAGGCGATCCTCCCACCTCAGCCTCCCAAGTAGCAGAGACTACAGGGGCATGCCACCAAGCCCAGCTGATTTTTGCATTTTTCATAGAGATGAAGTCTCGCCATGTTGCTCAGGCTGGTGTTTCTGCTATTAACATCACATATGGTATTGCAGACGCATGGTATATTTGTTCCAATTAATAAACCAATAATGATACATTATTTATTAATTAGAGTTCACAGTTTATTCAGATTTCCTTCGTTTTTACCCAACGTTCTTTTTCTACTCCATCTTTTTCTACTCCAGGATCCATCCAGCATGCCTCATCGCACTAGCTGTCGTGTCTCTCTGGGCTCCTCTTGGCTGGGGCGGTTTCTCACATAGCAACATGACATCACTGTTGGTGCTGCGTCAGGTTTCTCTACTGGAAAGTCAGTCTTCTTTTGCCCCTTTTCATACTGTACTCTTTGGAAGGAAGTCACTATGCTCGGGCCACACTTAAGTGAGGAGTTATGCTCTATCTCCTTAAGGTTGGAATAGCTACATAGATTATTTGGGATTTTTCTACACTGAAGATTTGTCTCATTTATTCAGTAATTTATTTATATCAGTATGGATTCACAGATAATTATTTAATACTTTAGGTTATAATCCAATACTATTTGATTTTGTTGCTCAAGTTGTTCCAGCTTTGGCTTTTGGGAGCTCTTTCGGTTGGCTCCCGTCTCCCTTTGACACACCCCTATTTTTGTGGGGTTTTCTCGTTGCCGTCAAGCACTTCCTTACTTTCTGGCACTACAAGATGCCTCAGGCTCATCTTTCGTATTTCCTGCCCCAGTCCTCAAATCAGCCATTTCGCAAGAGCTTTGATTGTTTCGGAGAAGGGTATTTATTAGAAACCAAGAACTGGGCGCTAGGTGCACTCATTGCTACTAGGGTGTCATTTATTTCCTTCCTCCCTCCCTCCCTCCCTCCCTTCCTTTTTGAGACAGAGTCTCACTCCATCACCCACACTGGAGTGCACACTCATGGCTACAGCCACGTAGCCATGGTAATGAAGCCATAACCTCACGAAGCTTCCAGTTTACACAATTAGAGGGTTAATTACCAAGTTGCCCAGCACTCTGCAGTGTGCTGTGTAGGCAATGCGGGGGTAAATTATCTGAAGAGAATTTAAAGACAATAAAAACTGCAGCCTAGACCTCCTGGGCTCAAGTGATCCTCCCTCCTTAGCCTCCTGAGTAGCTAGGACCACAGGTGTGTGCCACCACACTCAGCTAATTTTAATTTTCAATTTTTTTTTTTGTAGAGATAAGGTCTTGCCATGTTGCCCAGACTGATACAACTCCCGGCCTCAAGCCATCCTCCTGCCTTGGCCTCCCAAAGTGTTGGGATTACAGGCGTGAGCCACCACACCTGGCCTTGGGGTATCATTTCTTTTAAGCCTTCTCAACTGACAGAACAAAGAAATATATCTGTATATACCAATGTGTATATATATACACACATATCTATATTTCCATTTGTAACCATCTGTATATATATTAAGCTAAACATGAGTTCCTGTTTATATTTACCACTTGAATCCAGGGATCATTTGGCTTGCTTCCTGCTTGCTTATCTCTAAATTCCCACTCCAATAACGGGAAACCTGGTTCCCATCATCCACATCCACCATCCATTTACTTAATTGTTCAAGTCCAGTATACATGTGTAGGATTATCAAAATTGTTAACCCATACCCCTGTGGGAAACTTTATCAAGTAGAGTACATTCTTCTGAACACTTTCTTTTGCCTTTAGTGTTCCAGCAGACTCCACTTGTTTCTTTTTTCTTTTTCTTTTTTTTTTTTTTTTGAGACAGAGCCTCACTCTGTTGCCCAGGTTGGAGTGCTGGAGTGCAGCGGGGCCATCACAGCTCACAGCAGCCTTGACTTCCCAGTCTTAAGTGATCCTCCTGCCTCAGCCTCCCAAGTAGCTGGGACTACAGGCATGCGCCACTACACCCATCTAATTTTTTAAAATTTTTGTAGAGATGGGATCTCACTATGTTGCCTAGGCTTGTCTCCAACTCCTGGGCTCCAGTGATCCTCCCGCCTCAGCCTCCCAAAGTCCTGGGATTAAAGGCATGAGCCACCACGCCTGGCCCACTCATTTCTAAAGTTACTTAGGTCAGCACGTTTTCCTCTATCCTCTTCATGAGGTCATTTCACACATTTGTAATACGGTGAAGATGTTTGTCATATTCTGCATGACATTTTGGAATTATCTAAATGTCCTAAGTGATTTTTTTAACTTTGCATGCATTAAGGTTCACTTTTTGTGCTATTAAGTTTAATGGATATCAACCAATGCACAGTCATATACCCACATTTCTTCACCCTAAAAAACCCCCTGTGCTCACTTATTGAACCCTCTCCCCGCCAAACACTGGCAACCACACATCCGTTTACTGTATCTATGGTTTTGCCTTTTTGTGCCATTATTAAAAAAAAGAAAGACGCACAATATTTTTGTTGTTGCTCTTGTCACAGCTGCCACCCATTGAATCCTTACTATGTCCCAGGTCCAGAATTACACTGTCCCATTTTGAAGATGAGGAAACAGATGCAAATGAGTTGAAGTACTCCCTAGAGACTCATAACAATAAGCAAAGTTTGACTTCTATGATTAACTTCTGAGTCACCTCTGGGAATATTTGTAATATGTCTAATAGCCACACTTCTTTTGTTTGTTTTGATACAGGGGTCTTGCTGTTGCCTAGGCTGGAGTACAGTGGCTACTCACAGGTGCAATCATAGGGCACTACAGCCTTGAACTCCTGGGCTCAAGCAATCCTCCTGCCTCAACCTCAAAAGTGGCTGGGACTACAATGTGTGCCACTGTGCCCAGCTATATTAGCCACATTTCAAGTACTCAATAGCCGCTGTGCAGTTTATACTATTATATTGGTTTCTGAGTTTTGTTTTTGAGACTGCGTCTTGCTCTGTCACCAGGCTGGAGTGCAATGGCACAATCTCGGCTCACTGCAACCTCCACCACCTGGGTTCAAGCGATTCTCCTGCCTCAGCCTCCCAAATAGCTGAGACTACAGGTACGTATCACCAAGACCAGCTAACTTTTGTATTTTTAGTAGAGACATGGTTTCACCATGTTGGCCAGGATGGTCTCGATCTCTTGACCTCGTGATCTGCCCGCCTCGGCCTCCCAAAGTGTTGGGATTACAGGTGTGAGCCACCGTGCCTAGCTATATTGTTTTTTAAAAGATCTCTTATTATTTAGTGAAAAGAAAGGACCTGTAGTCTCAGTTACTCAGGAGGCTGAGGTGGGAAGATCATTTGAGCCCCAGAGTTTGAGGTAGCAGTGAGCTATGATGATGCCACTGCACTCCAGCCTGGGCAACAGAGGGAGATGCCATCTCACACACATACAAAAGAAAAGAGACCTTGTAATGCACACACTATCATAATCTCTGATTTTTCTTTTTTTTTTTTTTTTTTTGAGACACTGTCTTGCTCTGTTGCCCAGGCTGGAGTGCAGTGGGGTGATCACTGCTCACTGCAGCCTCAACCTCCTGGGCTCAAGTGATCCTCCCACCTCAGCCTCCCCAGTGGTTGGGACCACAAATGTGCACCACCACAACTGGTAAATTTTTTATTTATTGTAGAGATGTGGGTCTCAATATTTTGCCCAGGCTGGTCTCAAACTCCTAGGCTCAAGCTAGCCTCCCAAAGTGCTGGGATTATAGGTATGAGCCACTGGCTTTTTTTGTTTGTTTGTTTGTTTTTGTTTTTGATATGGAGTTTTGCTCTTGTTGCCCAGGCTGGAGTGCAATGGCGCTATCTTGGCTCACTGCAACCTCTGCCTCCCAGGTTCAAGTAATTCTCCTCCCTCAGCCTTCTGAGTAGCTGGGATTACAGGCATGCGCCAACACCTCCAGTTAATTTTGTATTTTTAGTAGAGACGGGGTTTCTCCATGTTGGTCAGACTGGTCTCAAACTCCTGACCGCAGGTGATCTGCCTGCCTCAGCCTCCAAAAGTGCTGGGATTACAGGTGCGAGCCACTGCCCCTGGCCTGACTTTTTTAAAATCAGGAAATTTAGATGAATCAAAAAAGAAATTACCTTGTCCCTATTGTTCTCTTCTCATTATGAATGTCTTTGAGGACCATGCCAGTTGGCAAATAGGTATTTTGGAGCTAGACACAGTTAGGGTGAGTGGAGTAACACGACAGTACCTACAACAGCCACACCCACACCTGAGTTGGCTTCATCCTGCCTTCAGGTATCATTAAGAATAGGTATTATTATTATTATTATTATTATTATTATTTTGAGACCGAGTCTCACTCTGTCGCCCAGGCTGGAGTGCAGTGGCACAATCTCCGCTCATTGCAACCTCTGCCTCCCAGGTTCAAGCGATTCTCCTGCCTCAGCCTTCTGGGACTACAGGCCCGTGCCACCACGCCCGGCTAATTTTTTGTATTTTTAGTAGAGATGGGTTTCATCGTGTTAGCCAGGATGGTTTCCATCTCCTGACCTCATGATCCTCCTGCCTCAGCCTTCCAAAGTGCTGGGATTACAGATGTGAGCCACCACACCTGGCCATATATATATTTTTTTCTTTGAGACAGTTCCACTCTGTCACCCAGGCTGGAGTGCAGTGGTGTGATCATGGCTCACTGCAGCCTGGAACTCCCAGGCTCAAGAGATCCTCCTGACTCAGTCTCCCAAGTAACTAGGACTATAGGCACACACCACCAGGCCCAGTTAATTTTTCTATTTTTAGAGACGGGGTCTCACTATGTTGCCCAGACTCGTCTCGAACTCCTGGGCTCAAGCAATCCTTCCAACCTCTACTTCCCAAAGTGTTGGGATTGTAGGCATGAGACACCACATCTGGCCTATAATGGAATATTATTTGGCAATAAAAAGGAAGTTCTGATACATGCTACAACATAGATGAACCTAGAAATCATGATGCTAAGTGAAAGAAGCCAGGCACAAAAGGCCACATGTTGTATGATTCTCTTTACATGAACTGTCCAGAAGAGACAAATCCATGGATACAGAAGCAGATTAATGGTGGCCTAGGGCTGGGGATTAGAGGGAAGGCAGAGCAGATGGGAGAGTGACTGCTAATGAGTACTGATGCTAATGGTTTCTTTTGGGGATGATGAAAATAGTCTAAAATCCATTGTGGCAACAGTTACACAACTCTGTGAATGCACTGAAAGCCACTGAATTGTAAACTATAAATGACTGAATAGTGTGGTATGTGAATTACATCTCAACAAAGCTGTTTTTTTTTTTTTTTAATGTTCTGGAAGAATCAGGATAGACATTACCTCAGGTGAAGGAAGGCAGGAGATGGGATGGTAAAGGAATTCATTGGGGAAAACAGGTTATCAATGTTCCAGTTCTTGTGTCAGATTGCTGACTCCACAGATTTTTATTATGTTATGTAAAAATAAATACACACAGGGCCAGGCATGGTGGCTCACACCTGTATCCCAGCACTTTGGGAGGCTGTGGTGGGAAAATCGCTTGAGCCCAGGAGTTCAAGACCAGCCTAGGAAACATAGTGAGAACCTGCCTCTACAAAAAAAATTTTTCGAAATTAGCCAGCCATGGTGGCATGCATCTGTAGTCCTAACTACTTGGGAGGCTGAGGCAGGAGGATCACTTGGGCCCAGAAGTTCCAGGATGCAGTGAGCTATGATCGCACCACTGTACTCCAGCCCAGGCAACAGAGCAAGACCAGGTCTCTAAAAAAAACCCACACAAGCATAAAGTGAGGGAATCACAGGCAACAATGAGAATGTGTCGCAGATGAAGCGATTCTGTATACCTGAGACAGAGGGAGATGAACGGGAAACGGCAGAGAGTGGTCAGGACAGTCCTCTCTGGGGAGCCCGTTTGAGCCGAAGCTAGGATGAGTAGATGCTCCAGCCCATGTGGGGATGGGGGTGAAAAGAGTTCCAGACAAAGGAGACAGCATGAATGAGGGCCCTGAGGTAGGCCCAAGCCTGTTGTGTTTGGGGGACAGCCAGTTTAAATGTCTGTTCTGTTATATTGTGGAGTCTCTGTGTATGAATTTTTCCTAAAGAAATAACAGACAGGCCGGGTGCAGTGGCTCACGCCTGTCATCCCAGCACTTCGGGAGGCTGAGGCAGGCAGATCATGAGGTCAGGAGATCGAGACCATCCTGGCCAACATGGTGAAACCCCATCTCTATTAAAAATACAGGTCGGGCACGGTGGCTCACGCCTGTAATCCCAGCACTTTGGGAGGCCAAGGCAGGCAGATCACAAGGTGAGGAGATCGAGACCATCCTGGCTAACACGGTGAAAACCCAGCTCTACTAAAAATACAAAAAAAAAAAAATTAGCCGGGCATGGTGGCGGGCGCCTGTAGTCCCAGCTACTCGGGAGGCTGAGACAGGAGAATGGTGTGAACCCGGGAGGCAGAGCTTGCAGTGAGCCGACATCAAGCCACTGCACTCCAGCCTGGGTGACAAAGCGAGAATCCGTCTCAAAAAAAAATAAAAATTAGCTGGGTGTGGTAGCGCACACTTGTAATCCCAGCTACTCAGGAGGCTGAGGAAAGAGAATCGCTTGAACCCAGGAGGTGGAGATTACAGTGAGCCAAGATTGCGCCACTGCACTCCAGCCTGGCGACAGAGCGAGACTCCATCTCTAAATAAATAAGTGGCCAAAAACATACATACAAAGGTGTTCACTGCCATATTGTTTATAATAGCAAAAAGGGGTAAAACAATCAAAATGTCTTTCAAGAAGGAACTGATTCACTTTGGGAGGCCGAGGTGGGCAGATCACCTGAGGTCAGGAGTTCGAGACCAGCCTGACCAACATGGTGAAACCCCATCTCTAATAAGAACACAAAATTAGCCAGGCGTGGTGATGCACGCCTGTAATTCCAGCTACTTGGAAGGCTGAGGCAGCAGAGTCATTTGAACCCAGGAGGCAGAGTTTGCAGTAATCCGAGATCACGCCATTGCACTCCAGCCCAGGCAAAAAGAGTGAAACTCCGTCTCTAAAAAAAAAAGAACTGATTAAATGAATTACAATATACTCGGCAGACCTGGACGAGAACCTACGCACTACATGGAAAGAGAAAAGAGATGTGAAAAAAGCAGGTTACTAGAAATTACATATAGTAACATTCCACTTGTGTAAAAAAAACTATGTGTGCATGTGATTATAAGCATTTAAGTTTCTGGATGGCCAGGTGAAGTGGCTCATGCCTGTAATCCCAGCACTTTGGGAGGCCAAGGTGGGCAGACCGCTTAAGCCCAGGAATTTGAGACCAGCTCGGGCAACGTGGCAAAACTCAGTCTCTATAAAAAATACAAAAAATTAGCCCTGTGTGGTGGTACGCGTCTGTAGTCCCAGCTACCTGGGACACTGACGTGGGAAGATCACTTGAGCCCAAGAGGTTGAGGCTGCAGTGAGCTGTGATTGCGCCACTGCACCCCATCCTGGGTGACAGGGAGAGACCTTGTCGAAAAAAAAAAAAGGCCGGGCACGGTGGCTCACGCTTATAATCCCAGCACTTTAGGAGGCCAAGGCGGGCAGATCACAAGGTCAGGAGTTCCAGACCAGCCTGGCCGATATGGCGAAACCCCGTCTCTATTAAAAATACAAAAATTAGTCGGGCGCAGTGGTGGGCGGCTGTAGTCCCAGCTACTTGGGAGGCTGAGGCAGGAGAATCGCTTGAACGTGGGAGGCAGAGGTTGCGGTGAGCCAGGATCGCGTCACTGCACTCCAGCCTGGGCAACAGAGTGAGACTCCGTCCCGTCTCAAAAAAAAAAAATTCTGGAAAATTACATTAAAATTTAAAATTTACTCATTATAATGCCATTTTTCTAGATTACAGGAGACGTTCACTTTTCGCCTTATATAATTCAGTATAAGGCCGGGCGCAGTGGCTCATGCCTGTAATCCCAAAACTTTGGGAGGCCGAGGCGGGCGGATCACTTGAGGTCAGGAATTCGAGGCCAGCCTGACCAACATGGCGAAACTCCGTCTCTACTAAAAATACAAAAATTAGCCAGGCGTGGTGGCACGCACCTGTAGTTCCAGCTACTCAGGAGGCTGAGGCAGGAGAATCGCTTGAACCTGGGAGGAGGAAGTTGCAGTGAGCTGAGATCACGCCACTGCACTCCAGCCTGGTGACAGAGCGAGACTCCACACACACACACACACACACACACACACACACACAAACACAAACACCATATATATACATATATAACTTTTGTAATAATAAAAAACATACTTCTACTTAAAGAGAATATCAATAAGCCCTAAAGTTTTTCATAGTGAAAGCCCTTCAAAATTGCTTGACAAATAAATTCTAAGTATACTAACTATGGGAAAAATGTATGCTTGCGAAGACTTTGTTAGACACATTTTCTTAAATGCTGAAGCTATAATTTAAAAATGAAGATTTCAGGAGACAAAATAAAGTCAGCTGGATAAAAAATGTGCAGAGAGAAAAAATATACCAAAATGTTAAGAGTGAGTGTCTCGGCCGGGCGCAGTGGCTCATGCCTGTAATCCCGGCACTTTGGGAGGCTGATGCGGGCGGATCACGGGGTCAAGAGTTTGAGATCAGCCGGCCAACATAGTGAAACCCCGTCTCTACTAAAAATACAAAAATTAGCCGGGCATGGTGATGCATGCCTGTAGTCCCAGCCACTTGGGAGGCTTAGGGAGGAGAATCACTTGAACCCGGGAGGCAGAGGTTGTGGTGAGCTGAGATCGTGCCACTGCCCTTCAGCCTGGGCAACAGAGCAGGACTCTGTCTCAAAAAAAAAAAAAGAGTGGGTGTCTCTTGGCACTGAGACAATGAATCCCAACAAATTCCCAACAAATGATATTTTTTCCTTAAATTTCAGAATTTTTGAAGTTTTACACAATGAATATTTTGTGATCTGAAAATTTTTTCTTCCCCTCCTCTTCCAATTCAACAGCTGAATAATAATCTTGTGTTCATTGTCTGCTACTGCTTAAGACATTCTTTCCAGACTTAGAGGCTTAACAAAGCAAACAGCTACCATCTCACAGTTTCTGTGGGTCATGAATCCACGCAGAGTTTAGTTGCATGGTTCTGGCTCAGGGTCATTCACGAGGTTGCAGTTGAGATGCTGGTCAGGGCTGCAGTCATCTGAAGACTTGACTGGGGCTGGAGGATCTGATTCCAGGATGGATCGATCACTCAGATGGCTGTTGGAAGTAGGTCTCAGTTCCTTGTTGGTGTTGGCAGGAGGCTTCAGTTTCTCACCACGTAGAGCTTTCCACAGGGCTGCTTGAGTGCCCTCGCATGACAGCTGACTTCTCCCAGAATAAATGATACAAAATAAGACAGCCAGGAGGAAAACATAGAGCTTTCTATGTCCAATCTTAGATATCACAAACCATCACTTCTGCCATATTCTATTAGTTAGAGGCAAGTTCACACTTAACTGGGAAGGGGAGGAGGAATTAGGCTCTTCCTTTTGAAGGAAGGAACATTAAAGAATTTGTGAAGGGCCGGGCGCAGTGGCTCATGCCTGTAATCCCAGCACTTTGGGAGGCTGAGGGGGGCGGATCATGAGGTCAGGAGATTGAGACCATCCTGGCTAAAACGGTGAAACCCTGTCTCTACTAAAAAAATACAACAAAAATTAGCAGGGCGTGGTGGCAGGCGCCTGTAGTCCCAGCTACTGGGGAGGCTGAGGCAGGAGAATGGCGTGAACCCGGGAGGCGGAGCTTGCAGTGAGCCGAGATGGCGCCACCGCACTCCAGCCTGGGTGACAGAGCAAGACTCCATCTCAAAAAGAAAAAAAAAAAAAGAATTTGTGAACATGTTTTTGAAACACAAGAAAATTTCCAGCTGATCTTTCCCCCCAAATTTCCCTCCTCCAATCCAACTACAACACATGAAACTCCTTAATCTTGCTGAAGCGTACCTCTGATCATGTCATCCTGCAATAAAAAAACTGTCCCTGGCTCCCCACAACCCAGGGAACTCCATAACTTGGCTTCTGAGGACCAACTACCGTATTGCCCTTCAGCTCCAGCTCAACATAAACGCATCGTATTCCTCATGTACACTCCCCCATCTCTGGTCTTGGCACCTATCCATGCCCTCTCAATACCTCGTCCCAGTCTCCTTCCCATCTCCAGTCCCTTGCACTTGCTGTTTCCTCTGCCTGGAATGTTTTACATGGATGGTTCTTCGTCATCTTGAGATCTAAACTCTCCCCCATCTCTATCATCCCCCGTCCCAGTCACTCACTCTCTCATTACCTTGTTTTCTTTTCATTGTCGTTTGAGACAGGGTCTCACTCTGTCCCACAGGCTGGGGTGCAGTGGTACGATCACAGCTCACTGCAGCCTCAACTTCCCGGGCTCAAACGATCTTCCTGCCTCAGCCTCCCAAGTAGCTAGGACTAAAGGCACAGGCCATCACACCTGGCTGTTTTGTATTTTTTGTAGAGACAGGCTTTTGCCATGTTGCCTAGGCTGGTCTTGAACTTCTAGGCTCAAGCATCTGCCCACCTCAGCCTCTCAAAGCGCTGGGATTTCAGATGTGAGCCACCTTGCCCAGCCCCTCCCTCCCTTCTTTCCATCACCCAGTCTGGGGTGCAGTGGCACCATCATAGCTCACTACAGCCTCAAAATCTCTGGCTTAAGCGTTTTCCCACCTCAGCCTCCCCAGAAGCTGAGATGACAGGTGCTTGCTACCATGCCCGGCTAATTTTTGAATTTTTGTGGAGGTGGGATTTCTCTATGTTACCCAGGCTGGTCTGAAACTCCTGGGCTCAAGCGATTCTCCCGCCTTGGCATCCCAAAGTGCAGGGATTACAGGCGTGAACCACCACACCCAGCCCAGCTTTATTTTCTTTATAGCAGTCACAACTATCTGAAATTATCTTATTTGTTTACCTGCTCTTTTCTGTTGCCCTCACTTGCTCCTTAAGAACAGGGACCTCTGTCTTGGTCACTGCTGTAACCCAGTAGCCCCAGTTCCAAGTTCACTGCCTGGTGCACAGTAGGTGGCCAATAAATTGTTGAATTAAATGTCCTCTCTTCCAGGGAGTTGTTTTAGAAAGAATCACACACTGCATAAATGTCTGTTGAGGAAGAAAATGAAAAAAACAAAAGTGAAGACATTATCTTCTCGGCTGAACTTCCCACACCATCTTCTCTGTCATTAATAAGTCCTGGTGTCTACACTGGGGAAGGCAGTCCAAGGTTCTTCCAGGGCCTAGGTTCAGCCAGACTTTAACCATCTCTAGCTCCTCAGAGTCCGTCAAAGGGCCTAAGGAATGGTAAGTATTAATAATGTTTGTTTATGTATTTATTTATTTATTTATTTTGAGATAAAGTCTCTGTCTCCCAGGCCGGAGTGCAGAGGTACAATCATTACAACTTCCACCTTTCCGGCTCAAGCAATCCTCCTGCCTCAGCCTGCCAAGTAGCTAGGACTACAGGCAGGCACCACCCTGCCCAGCTAATTTTTGTACTTTTTTTTGTAGAGTAAGGGTTTCACCATGTTGCCCAGGCTGGTCTTGAACTCCTGGCCTTAAGTGATCTGCCTGCCTCAGCCTCCCAAAGTGCTAAGACTACAGCTGTGAACCACTGTGCAGGGTCAAATGTTTATTAATGGATGCATGCATGGATGGAAGAAGGAAAGGAGGCAGGTGTGAATAATGAATGCAGCATTTTCACTGCTGAGAATAAAGAGTGAAATCCTGGTCCAAATCAGTTTGGCAGTGAGTAAGGTTAGGAACTATTCACATACATTGGAATAATAATAGCAGCAGCAGCTACAGGGTCAGAGACAGATCTTTGAGAGGCCATAAGCATTGAAAAGATTGTGGTACCTATCACACACCGTCTAAAATAAAACAAATATTTTATTTATGGGAAAAGTGTTAAGGTGTTGATAATTCCAAGAAAGCTTTTATTTGTCCTACAATCATTACTTTGATACCTTTTCTGAAATCCTAGAGCTGTCCCCACTCTGCCCATTTTTTTTTCTCATTATGGTGATGTCTCTGGGTTGCTGGTGACCTGCGTAACTATTGGGAAATCTAGTTTCTCAAAACTTTTAGTTTTTTTTTAGACAGGGTCTCACTCTGTCACTCAGGCTGGAGTGCAGCGGCTCACTGCAACATCCGCCTCCTAGGTTCAAGCGATTCTCATACCTCAGTCTCCTGAGTAGCTGGGATTACAGGTACGCGTCACCAAGCCTGACTCATTATTTTGTACTTTTAGTAGAGACAAGGTTTCACCATATCGGCCAGGCGGATCTCGAACTTCTGACCTCAAATGATCCGCCCGCCTTGGCTTCCCAAAGTGCTGGGATTACAGGTGTGAGCCACCGCGTCCCGTCTATCATAAGTTTTATTGAACATTGCCTAGGTATCAGGATGTGTTTACATGCATTATCTCATTTAATCTGTAAAACCACCATGTGAGGGAGAAACTGAATTATCCCCATTTTCAGGATAAGGAAAAGGAGGGACTGGGAATGTGAACTCAGGAAGTGTGACTCCATCGGGTAGACTGCTCAGGCTGCAGATGTAAAGGTTTTACACGTAGGCTTTTCCAGATCTCAGCTTCTGAAAGGCGGAGGGACCGTTTGGACGGGAGCAGGGCCTCCTCTTCCAAGCACCCTGTGCCTTTAAGAGTCGCCCCCTCCCTCCAGGGATGCTCCAATTTCTTTCTCCCCACCACCCCCACCCCGCCCCCCGCGCCGCGGAGCCGCACCTCGGTCCTTCCTCCCCGCCCCACACCCTCAAGCTCGGCTCTTGGCCTTCGCTCGTCCAGAAGTGGGTGAGCTGTACCGCCAGAGGCGCATTCTCCTAGCCCCAAACCATGCCCGCTACGCCCCAGCGGAATGCCACCTTAAAGACCCTAATCCGGGCACCTCCCAGCTCCTGCTTCCCAAGGGCGAGGCCTCAGCGCCCCCTCCCATCGCCCATGCTCACGACGCCGTGAAGGTGACCTCCCCCAGGGGCGGCACACGCCCAGTGGTGCCCGAACTGGCTCACACGTGGTGAGCCGGGAGCGCGCGGCCCCTCCCCGCCACGCGCCTCGTGCCGGCCACCCGGCCACGCCCCCAGGACTGGCTCCGCCCCGTGCCCCTGCACGCTTCTCCAGGCTTGGGTGGGGCGACGCGCCCAAGTCGGGCACCGGGCAGGCTACGGGGTGGGGTAGGACCTGGGAATGGCGCACCCACGCATCCTCGAATGTCGCCTGCGGTTTGTGAAAAGCGGGAAGTCCGCCCAGCTCAGGACCTTTGGCTGGCAGGCGAGGTGCCCCGCGGCCCTTGGTGCTGAGCAGGGGAGAGACAGCTGGGACCGCGAGCCTGGGAATCGAATCCTAGTCTGCGTGTCCTCGGTGCTTCCTATTTGGAAACTGGGCATCATATTATCATATTCCCTTCTCCCTCCGGATTCTTATGGAGCTTCGAACGAGATTAAATATACATATATATGAGAAAGGGATTTGTTCACTAGGTCCAAAAGCATTTGCTGGTCCCATATGTGGTCGGACCCTGTGTGTAGTAGGCGGGGGGCAACATCTACGACAACCTGAGTTCGTCCCCTTAAGAAGCTTTCCTGAGTCTTGGGCCCCCCAAATTCTCTTCTGGGATGGTCCGAAAAGACGTCCCTGAAAGAGGAAAGGGCGGAAATCCTACCTGACGGCAGGTGTCTCGGAATGAGCTAAAATTTAAAAGGCAACGCGGGGCAGGGACAAGCGTCCAGCGTCAGATGGAAGCAGGCTCGCGTCCCCTACCCTTCCTCCAACCCCTAACCTAAGAAAAGAAACCGATCTCGCCGGTCTCCCCCAATCCTAGCCGCGAGACCGCCCAGCCCCGCAGCCCGAGCCCCGCCCCGCTCCGGCGGCCAGCGATTGGGAGATGCAAATACCGGCTTCTCTGCCCAGCAACGGGTGACGCGGCGCCCGAGCGCGAGGCGGGGCCCGGCCGCAGCCCAAGCGGGCACCTCGGTGTTTACACGGGGCGGCCCCGCGCGCGCCGCAGCGGCCCGCAGACGGCGAGGGGGAGGGGTGGTGCGCGCGCCGGCGGGGCCGCGCGGGGAGAAAGACACTGAAAGGCGTCGGCGGCCGGGCGGGGAGCGGCGCGCGCGGGCCGCGGCGGAGCCAGAGGCTGCAGGAAGAGCCCGCGGGGGCCCGGAGGGTGCGATTCCTCGGCCCCCGCAAAACAATGTGTGTTGTGAGCCAGGACGCAACTTGCCGGAGGCGGCGGGGGCGCGCCGAGCCCGCCTGAGACCGCGCTGACCTTCTCCCCCCGCCGTCCGTTGGGCCCGAGCGCCCAGCTCCTCGCTCCCCAGTTCGCGGGGGCCGGGCCGAGCCGCGGGGCGGGGCCGCCCCTCCGTCGCCGCTGCCTCCTCCCCCACCCCCAGCCGCGGAGGATGCGGACGGCCCCCGGCGGCGTCTAGCGGCCCCGGGCCCAGGCGCGATGGTGCAGCAGCGGGGCGCGAGGGCCAAGCGGGACGGCGGGCCGCCGCCCCCGGGACCCGGGCCGGCCGAGGAGGGGGCGCGCGAGCCCGGCTGGTGCAAGACCCCGAGCGGCCACATCAAGAGGCCGATGAACGCATTCATGGTGTGGTCGCAGCACGAACGGCGGAAGATCATGGACCAGTGGCCCGACATGCACAACGCCGAGATCTCCAAGCGCCTGGGCCGCCGCTGGCAGCTGCTGCAGGACTCGGAGAAGATCCCGTTCGTGCGGGAGGCGGAGCGGCTGCGGCTCAAGCACATGGCGGATTACCCGGACTACAAGTACCGGCCGCGCAAAAAGAGCAAGGGGGCGCCCGCCAAGGCGCGGCCCCGCCCCCCCGGTGGTAGCGGTGGCGGCAGCCGGCTCAAGCCCGGGCCGCAGCTGCCTGGCCGCGGGGGCCGCCGAGCAGCGGGAGGGCCTTTGGGGGGCGGGGCGGCGGCGCCCGAGGACGACGATGAAGACGACGACGAGGAGCTGCTGGAAGTGCGCCTGGTCGAGACCCCGGGGCGGGAGCTGTGGAGGATGGTCCCGGCGGGACGGGCCGCTCGGGGACAAGCGGAGCGCGCCCAAGGGCCGTCGGGCGAGGGGGCGGCCGCCGCCGCCGCCGCCTCCCCGACACCGTCGGAGGACGAGGAGCCGGAGGAAGAGGAGGAGGAGGCGGCAGCGGCTGAGGAAGGTGAAGAGGAGACGGTGGCGTCGGGGGAGGAGTCGCTGGGCTTTCTGTCCAGGCTGCCCCCTGGCCCGGCCGGCCTGGACTGCAGCGCCCTGGATCGCGACCCGGACCTGCAGCCTCCCTCGGGCACGTCGCACTTCGAGTTCCCGGACTACTGCACCCCCGAGGTTACCGAGATGATCGCGGGGGACTGGCGCCCGTCTAGCATCGCAGACCTGGTTTTCACCTACTGAGCCCACCGTCAGCGGGGCGCGCACGCCCCCAAACCAGCTGTTTACATACAGGAATCAGGTATTGGGGCCCCTCGGAGGCCGAGGCTGGCACCCCATCTCCCGCGCAGCCTGCCCCCTCCTGGACGTGCCCATCCCCCCTCAGATCCAGACATGCCCCTCCCCCGCAGACACACCCCAAGGCAGCCCAACCCCCACCCCTTCCCCGACACCCAAGCCCCTCCCCACGTCGCCCCCTCCTGCACAGCCACCAGCAGCCAGCCCCCTCCGATACACCTCCCGTCCTCTCCTACAGACCTGCACCCCTCCCCCCTTTTGCACACGCCCCTCCTCGTGGCCGGAGGACCCGCCCCCTCCTTTGCTCCGGAATCTCTCCTCCCTCGCCCGGCCCGCCTTCTCTGGGTTAGGGGGGCGATGCGGCCGGGTGGCAACGCACGCGCCTCCTGCGCCCCTCCCTTCCCTGGGGGGAGGGGCGCACCCCTTTTATCCCCGGAGCGCTAGGGCCCGCCCCTCCGCTGGGGCCCACCCCCTTCGTGCGCATGCTTAATGCTTCTGGGGAGGAGGGGGCTGGTCCCAGCGGAGCCGCACTCTTCGCCCGCTCCGGGCAAAAGCGGGGGCGAGTGTAGAGCGATCCTGGGAAATCCTTTGATCCGGGAGCCCTAGGTTTCCTCTCCAGCCAACGGGGCGTCGCTGCCTTAATGGGAGGAGCACTCGGAAGGGTTGGTTTGGGCCTGAAACTCTCCCAAGTGGCATAGCCCCTTTTCCGGTATGGGGTCTCCTACACCCACGCGCACCACCTCTCCGGTCGCGTGGCTGCCTCTACAGCCTACCTATACGTCCCTTTTTCCCCCCAACTGGGAATTGAGAGGTAAGGTCTTTCTCTGGAAATCCAGCAGTAGAGGAAGGGACCACCCAAGAAAACTAAAAACCAAGGCACCTTACCAGTCTGTCTGGGGACAGGATCCCTGCTGCACCTTCCCCACCCCCTCCTGGGAAGTGCCCCCTCACCTCAGGGCACCCGCAACCTGGGCTCCTCCCTGAGCGCACCGGCCCTTCCTGTCACCCAGGTCCACCCTCAGTACTCAAGCTGCAGTATACAGCGGGAAAAACTGAGGCACTTTGGTGCTAGGGGTTTGGGACTGAGGCGTGGAGAGCAGATGTGATGGCAGGAAGACTCTCGCTTTTAAACATCTGGTTTGGGAGAGACCATCGACTTGGCCAGTGAGACTGAGAATGGATTCCGAGTAGTGATGGGCCGTTTGCACCTCGGTTTTTCCACGTGAGAAATGGGGAGAACGCTGCTGTTAGGAGGAAGTTGTGTCCAGTTCAGGGTGCCCTCGGGAGCCCTGTCCCTGTTGCTGTGGCCCCTCTCACGCCGCCATCTCTCTGCCCCGCCCCGCCCCTCCGGCCTCCCCACACCCCCCTTGCCCTCACTACCTGTATCTCACCGGCGTGTGTTCACCCTCCCGGGTGGCTCACACACTCTCATTCACACACACAAATCTCAGGAACAAACGGTCCCAGAGTCCTCCGGACCCCTGCCCAGGGTCTCTGCAGGTCTCTGCCCCACGCGTTCCCGTCGCTGACAAAGCCACCAGCTGCCTCCTTTAAGCTTGGTGCTCCGGCTCTGGGCCTTTCTTGCGCTCTATTTTTTTTTTTTTTTTTTTTAAGAAAAACAACAACAACAAAAAAAGACAATGAAAAAAAAAACGTCATGTGAGTGAAGAGATGTCACTGTCTGTGGTCTTGGAGAACTAGTCTCGTAGCTGAGGGGTGGGGTCCCTCTGTCTGGGGCACTGGCACCCACAGCAGGACTCCGCCAGTCTGATGCCAGGACTGAATAAAGTGTATTTGCCCCGACCTTGCCCTGTGGTTCTGCATGTCTGTGCTCTTCCTCAACCCTCCCTAAACAGTTTGCCAGATTCAAGTCCGTGTGATTTGGGCCCGAGCTGGGTGTCCCAGGGCAAGCCACCTTGCCTGTCTAGGCCTCTATGTCAGGACTCCCTGGCCTTCATGAAGAATAGCAAACTCATCCCTGTAGGGACCAGGCAGGTAACATAGACGAGTGACTCTGGGTGGACAGTGGTGTCATGACCCACTTCAAGGGGCCTACCTCCTGCCAGTTGTGACCCTGTGGGAATGCAGTCCACAGTGGCCAGGTGGCCAGATTTTTCAAGAAAAGCTGGATGGATGTTTCTGAGTCATCTTAATTTCAAAATGAGACTCATATTTTAAAATTTCTGTGGGCCAAATGAAACAAGTATGCAGGCAGGTCTGGTCCGAGGGGGCTGGCTTGGCCATGCCTTTCTGTGCCTTTAATGAGGACTAAGAAGCAAGATTGGGCCACACTGTCTGGACTCAAAGCCCAGCTCCACCACTGAGCACCCGTGTGACTCTTTCCATATGTATAACGTGGGGATAATAATAATAGCTGCTTCACAGGATGAAATGAAGTTTGAGGTGAGAAGCATTCACCATGGTGCCCATCGTGTTACTCCATTGTCAGAGGAGGAAACGGGGTCAGGCAGGAAAGCAACTTAAAGGAGGGCCTGCAAGCAGCCAGGGTCAGAGACAGGGCTTGGTTCTGCTTCCTGGTGAAGCATGGCTTCGGGGTGCTGCCTCTCCCTCCCTGTTTGAATCTGCAGATTGTGTTAGGCCCCCAGCTGAGGGCCTGGAGTGGTGGGATTGGTCCCAGTGCCTGGCGCACATTGGCCTGCAGAGTAGATTAACTGAATGACCAAAGAGCAACAGAAGTCTAGTGATTCTTGTCTTTGAGGTTCTGACTGGTGTTTTACAACTGAGTCCAAGGCTTTTCCCTCCTTTGTCCCTCTGACACCCCTCCCCCTAATTCTCATCTGTCAGATCCAGTGTATTCCTAAGCTGGGACAAAGCCTCTGTTTTCCCAGTAGGAGCCAGGGCTGAGTGTGGAAATTACAGTGACTGCTTCTTCTCAGCTTCTCTGGTTGAAAGCAAGCTGGCGAAGTAAGAGGAGGTAGAGTTGAGAAGGTGTGGAAGATAGGGACAGCTGCCCCCAGAACTCCCTTCAAGGGAGGACTTCCCCAGCTATGGGAAGTGCCATCAGGGTGGCCGCAGCTGCAGAGAGCCACTTCACCTGAGACCACGCCCTTCCTGGGGCAGCCTGTATCTGGTGTCTGAGTGAGGCATGGTATAAACACCTGGTCATTTCAATCCAACATGGGACGGACACTGACAGACAGTACTCCCAGCAGGCCCAGGCCAGCCAGGGCTTCGTCAGGCCTGCAGCACAATTTGACTTCCTATGCCCAGGCCTGCTTCCTCTTCTTCCTCTTCTTTTCACAGGTGCTTATTCCTAATAAACATCTTGCAACCCAAACTCAGTCTCATTGTCTGTTTCTAGAGAAACCCAGTCTACAACAGAGGGTTCAAGAGACTGGACAAAGGGAATTGGGTCAGTGGCCCAGCAACTGCAGCTAGGCCGGTCGGATGTATCCTAATGTCAAGAGTCTGTTCACCGATGCCATCAGCACCAAACTAGGGGCTGCACACTTTCCTAGTCTGCACACCAGTCACGTCAATTAGAGACTCCAGCCTCAGCCCGAAGGCCTTCCAGGGCCCCCTGCTGATGCCATTCTCACTGCCAGTCCGTCCCCTGGTAAAAGCAGGTGGGAGGGAGGTCGTCATCTGAGTTTGTCTTACAGAATAGCCTGGAATGGGGTGCACGGTAAAATGCCTGACCGGAGATAATGCTAGAGCTGTGGAACCTTGGGCAAGCCTCTTCCCCTTTGTGGGCTGTACTGGGAGTCGGTAATAGGACTAGAAGAGGGACCATCTCATTTTGGTTCCTTCCATTTCAGATGCTGACCTGAAAGGTCGGGGAGACAGCTCCTTATGGGGTCTCTGGGGCCACCTAGTGGCTAAGAGGAGTAGAACCAAGGTTCTGTGCAGTTGGGAGGTGGGAGTCGGGGTGTGTCCCAGGCCAAGGAACTGAGTCCCACTCGAGTCTCACTCCATTCATGCATTGACTCATTGCTGGGTCATGCCCCTTGCCTGGGTGGTGTGAGCCACCCTGCTTCCAAGGCTTTCAAAACACCATACGCTGATGTATTGTTTCTCATCTATTGCTGCGTAACAAATTGCCACAAGCTTAGCAGTGTAAAACAACATGCATTTGTTATTTCAGTCTCCATGCATCAGGAGTCCAGCATGCCTTAGCTGGGTCTCTGCTCAGGATCTCACAAGGCAGCAGCTGGGGTGCTGGTGGCCCGCATTCCTTCTTGGAGCTCAGCAGCCTTTTCCAAGCTCTCACGGTAGTGGGCAGAATTCAGTTCTTTGTGCTTATAGGACAGAGATCCCTGTTCTATTGCTGGCTGTCAGTTAGTACCACTCTTGATTACTACAAGCTGCTCAGTTTCTTGCCACATGGCCCCCACAGGGCCTCCCCAGCCTTCTCACAATATTGCAACTTATTTTGTCAAGGCCAGAGGAGAATTTTTCTGCTGCTTGGAGTCACTTGGCTCAGGGAAGGTTTAAGCTCTCTTTTAAAAGCCTCTCCTGGCTGGGCATGGTGTGTTCATGCCTGTAATCCCAGCACTTTGGGAGGCCAAGGTGGGTGGATCACCTGAGGTCAGCAGTTCGAGACCAGCCTGGCCAAATGGTGAAACCCCTTCTCTACTAAAAATACAAAAATTAGCCTGGCGTGGTGGCAGTCGCCTGTAATCCCAGCTACTTGGGAGGCTGAGGCAGGAGAATCACTCGAACCTGGGAGGCGGAGGTTGCAGTGAGCCAAGACCAAGCCACTGCACTTCAGCCTGGGCGACAGAGCAAGACTCTGTCTCAAAAAAAAAAAAAGAAAAAAAAGGAAAAAGAGAGAGAGAAAAAAAAAGCCTTCCCTAATTAGGTCAGACTCACCCAGGAAAATCTCCTTTTTGATTAGGCATCAACTAATGTGGGATTTTATATCTGCAAAAAATCCCTTCACCTTTGCAGTATATTGTAGCCTTATAAGAGTGACAGCTGTCATACTAGATTTGCCCACACTCAAAAGGGAGGAGGCTGTCTAGGGCAGCTACACCAGAGACTGGGAATCTTGGGGGCCATCTTAGAATTCTGCTTATCACACACCTGTAATCCCAGCACTTCGGGAGGCCAAGGTGGGAGGATTTCTTGAGTCCAGGAGTTCAAGACCAACCTGGCCAACATAGCAAGACCTAATCTCTAGTAAAGTTTTTTTTAAAAAAATTAGCCAGGCACGGTGGTACACACCTGTAGTCTCAGCTACTTGGGAAGCTGAAGTATCATAGCTGAGAATTCTCAGGTCTACATCTCCATCCCAGACATGACTAGACTAGCTGCCTTCTTGTCATCTCCACTGATATATCTAATTGGCACCTCAAACTGGACATGCCAAAAAATGAACTGTTTCCACAGTGCTCCCAAGCCTGCTTCCACAGACCACATCTGCACAGCTGATGTGAAATGAAAGGCTAAAGCCTCTCAGTTATCCTTGATGCCTCTTTTCCTCCCAGCGCCATCTCCCTTATACCCTGTTGGCTCTACCTTCAAAATATGCCCTGTGTCTTGTCACTTCTCACATCTTCCATGGCCTCTGGGTCCAGGATATAAGGGCATACGAAGGGCTCCTTGCGTTTTCCTTTGCCCCACTCATAGTCTTATTGTCCACACAGCAGCCGGAGTGATCTGGTTAAACTGTAAATCCCAGCACACCCTGCCACTGTTCAAAATTCTCCAAAGACTCTCATTCAGTAGAAGCCAGAGTCCTCAGCATGGCCTGCAAAGCCCCATAAGAAGTAGCCTGTGGCTCAGCCTCGGCTTCATCTTCTACTTTTTCTGTTTCTCACATGCCCAGTCACACTGGTCTTGCTGTTCCTCAAAAGTGCCAATCACACTTCCGCCTGAAGGCTTTTGCACATGCTTTTCCCTCTGCTTAAGATACCCTTCCTCCGGCTGGGCGAGGTGGCTCACGCTTCTAATCCTAGCACTTTGGGAGGTCCAGGTGGGTGGATCACCTGAAGTCAGGAGTTCGAGACCAGCCTGGCCAACATGGCGAAACCCCTTCTCTACTAAAAATACAAAATTAGCTGGGCGTGGTGACACATGCCTGCAGTCCCAGTTACTCAGGAGGCTGAGACAGGAGAATCACTTGAATCCAGGAAGCAGAGGCTGCAGTGAGCTGAGATCGCATCACTGCACTCCAGCCTGGGCAAGACAAAGCGAGACTTCACCTCAAAAAACAAACAAAAAAATACCCTTCCTCCAGATAGCCACATGTCTTACTTCCTTCAGGTCTCAGCTCCCAGGGCGCCCTAGAGTAGGCACAGGGAGTACCTCACAGTGTCCTCCCTGACCATCCATATAAAGTAACATCCTCCATAAACTATCCTGTTACTTTGCTTTATTTTTCTGAATAGCATTTATCACTATCTGGCATTTATCACCTGTAGTTTTTACTTTTTGTCTCTCTCTCTCTAATTTGTATGTAAGCTTCATAAGGAAGGAATGACTCTGGACTGGACTCCATGCCTCAGCACATTCACCCACCCATTCAACAAACATTCTTAAGGGTCTAGGCTGGGCATGGTGGCTCATGCCTGTAATCCCAGCACTATGGGAGGCCGAGGTGGGAGGATCACTTGAAGCCAGGAGTTTGAGACCAGCCTGGGCAAGGAAACAAGACCCTGCCTCTAAAAAATACAATTTAAAAAAGTATCCAGGCACAGTGGCGTGAGCCTATAGTCCCAGCTACTCGGGAGGCTGAGCTGGGAAGATCTCTTGTGCCCAGGAGTTCAAGGCTGCAGTGAGCCATGGTCATGCCACTACACTCCAGCCTGGGTGACAGAGTTAGACCCTGCCTGTAAAAAAAAAAAGGTGGGGGGCAGGGTGGGGAAGGTTTGCCTTGACCAGGCCGCGTGCTAGGTGCCGGGCATACAAAAGTGAAAAACGTGATTTGTCCTCAGTGAGCTCACAGGTCTGAGGAGACACATAAACCCAGGAATGGAAATGCTTTGCTGGCGATGGACAGTGAGTCTGGGAGAACATTGAGGAGATGTTTAACCCAGACAATGGAGTGGGGTGTGGTCAGGTCATTCCCTGGAGGAGGTGATGTTTAAGCTGTGGCATGAAACCTCAGTAGGATGTGATGACCTTAGAACATGGCTACACGTTCTTTGACATTCCTCCTTTAAATTACCTTCCCTTTGAATCTGGGCTGGGCCTTCATGATCCATTTGTAACCAACAGGACACAGCAGACATGGTGCTGCAGGATTTCCAAGGCTAAGTCACGCTGAACCGCCATGTTGAAAGGCCAACAGCCAAGACTGCCATGTGGAGAAGCAGCCCGGGCCACGTGGGAAGACCATGTGTAGGTAGCTGCTCCAGTTGACAGCTGAGCCCAGGCACCAGACTTATGAGTTGAGAAGCTTCCAGGGGATTCCAGCCCCTCATAATTCAACTCACTCCCAGCTGTTGGAGGGCCTTCCCAGCAGAGGCCCAGCCATCACAGAGCAGAGACAAGCCATCCCTTCTATATCCTGTCTGAATTCCTGACCCAGAGTCCACGAACATAATGAGATGGCAGTTGTCCACACTATTAGGTTTTGGGGCAGTTTGTTATGAAGGAATAACTGGAACAATAGGATAAGGAAGAGTGAGGTGAAGGAAAGGACTTTACAGATGCCAGCAACAGTACATGGGAAGACCTGGTAAGAGTGGCTGACACAGAAGCTAACCAGCTTGCGGGGAAGGTGTGGAGAGAGGAGGGTGACAGGCAAGAGTGAGAAGGACCTTGAAGGTATTTGGACTTTATCCCGAGTCTTCACACTGCAGCCCAAGGGGTCAAGGAGTCTTTTTTTTTGTATGGTAAACATGGGGTCTTGCTATGTTGCCCAGGCTGGTCACAAACTCCTGGCCTCCAGAGATCCTCCTGCCTTGGCCTCCTAAAGTGCTGAAATTACAGGTGTGAGACACTGTGCCCAGCCTCCAAGGGGTCTTCTCTTTTTTTTGAGACCGCGTCTCGCTCTATTGCCCAGGCTGGAGTGCAATGGCGCAATCTCAGCTCACTGCAATCTCCGCCTCCTAGGTTCAAGCGATTCTCCTGCCTCAGCCTCCTGAGTAGCTGGGACTACAGGCATATGCCACCACACCTGGATAATTTTTGTATTTTTAGTAGAGACAGGGTTTTACCATGTTGGTCAGGCTGGTCTTGAACTCCTTACCTCATATGATCTGCCCACCTCATCCTCCCAAAGTGCTGGGATTACAGGCGTGAGCCACCATGCCCAGCCGGGGTCCTTTGAAAACACAAACCTGACCACTGCTGTAAACCTTTCGATGGCCCCTTACTACCCTCAGGATAAACTCTTGAAATTCAAGGCATTTTGCAGTTGACTCCCTCACTCTTTTATAGATTTATCTTCGGTCACTTTATCCTCAGCTACGCCAGGCCACTCTCCAGTGACAATGCTTCCCGCCTCACCCATGCTATTTATCTTTGCTCATGTGGAGGAATTAGTGGGACTTTGGGCTAATCACCTTGCCTTTCGAGGCCTCAGTTTCCCCATCTGTATGATTAGGTGGTTGGACTAGAAGTTTTTGTTTTGTTTTGTTTTTGTTTTTGTTTTTTTGAGACCGAGTTTCACTCTGTCGCCCAGGCTGGAGTGCAGTGCTGTGATCTCGGCTCACTGCAACCTCTGCCTCCCGGGTTCAAGTGATTTTTCTGCCTCAGCCTCCCAAGTGACTGGGATTACAGGCATGCACCACCAGGCCCAGGTAATTTTTTTGCATTTTTAGTAGAAACAGGGTTTCACCATGTTGGCCAGGCTGGTCTTGAACTCCTGACCTCAAGTGATCCACCTGCCTCGGCCTCTCAAAGTGCTGGGATTACAGGTGTGAGCCACGACACCCAGCCTTAGATGTCTCTTAAGAGCATATCTAGCCTGGCATTCTAGGAGTCTATGAAAAGGAGGGAGAAAGGTGTCTGTAGCCAAACCTGCCTGTCTGGCTTCTTCTAGGTTGCCTAGCAATGGATGCCAACCCTCTCCCCCATCCTTGGGGGTTTCTTAGCAACCCAGTTTCTCACCCTCTGCTGTTTTCAGGGTTTCCTTTTAACTAAATGTCAAGTTTTGCTCTTTCTCCTCCAGAAAACCTGAGGCCAAGGGTCTCTGTGTAGAGCTGGATACAACCCAGAATACACAGAGACCTGGGTTTGAGGTCAGTGGAGGATTTGCTGTGTGACTTGGAGGTCTTTGACCTCTCTGGCTTTCATTTCAGACTGTGATTCCCTGTCATATGCTCCTCAGAGTTCTTCTTCTTTTCTTCTTCTTCTTCTTTCCTCTTCTTCTTCTTCTTCTTCTTCTTCTTCTTCTTCTTCTTCTTCTTCTTCTTCTTCTTCTTCTTCTCTTCTTCTTTCTTCTTCTTCTTCTTTCTTTTCTTCTTCTTCCTCTTCCTCTTCTTCTTCTTCTTCTTCTCCTCCTCCTCCTCCTCCTCCTCCTCCTCCTTCTCCTTCCTTCTTTCTTCTTCTTCTTCTTCTTTTGTTTTTTGAGACCTAGTCTCACTCTGTCGCCCAGGCTGGAGTGCAGTGGGGCGATCCCGGCTCACTGCAACCTCCGCCTCCCTGGTACAAGCAGTTCTCCTGCCTCAGCCTCCCAAGTAGCTGGGATTACAGGTGCACGCCACCATGCCCAGCTAATTTTGTATTTTTAGTAGACACAGGGTTTCACTATGTTAGCCAGGCTGATCTCGAACTCCCAAACTTTGGGATTACAAGCATGAGCCACTGTGCCCAGCCTGTTCTTTTCTATTTTTTGAGATGGAGTCTCACTCTGTCACTTAGGCTGGAGTACAGTGGCACAATCTCAGCTCACTGCAACATCCACCTCCCAAGTTCAAACGATTTTTCTGCCTCAGCCACCAAAGTAAGCTGGGATTATAGGTGAACACCACCACACCGGGCTAATTTTTTGTATTATTTGGTAGAGACGGGTTTTCACCGTGTTACCCAGGCTGGTCTCAGACTCCTGACCTCAAGTGATCCGCCAGCATCAGCCTCCCAAAGTGCTGGGATTACAGGCATGAGCCACTGTGCCCAGCCCTCTGTATTGTTCTGATTTTAGTATATGTGTGCTGAAATGAGCACTTCCCTCTTCTCTTGTATGCGTTTGGTTTGACTACCAAATTTATTCACTTTTGCAATAAACCGTCACTGAGCACCTACTATGTTCCAGGCACTGTCTTAAGGACTGGGGATTCGTCAGTGAATAAAGCAGACATAGTCCCTTCCCTCACAGAGCTTATACTCTAGTAGATGGAAACGTATAATGAATAAACAGATAAGTGCACATAATGATATCATGCAGTGAAGGGGACAAAGTGTAAGGAAGGGCTACTATTTTAGATGAGGAGGTTGTATCAGTCAAGATGGGCTAGGGAAGTCAGAGATGGTTGGGAAGAAAAAGCCTGGCTTCCCCCTTTCTCCCTCCAACTTCCTGTGGGTGCCTCACCTTGGGTGACCTCAGCTAGAGGCCAGCTGACAAAGGAGGCTGAGTAGCTTCCAGGGGTCAGCTCTGCAAAGCAGGAAAGAGCAAGGAATCCACTGGAAGCAAGAAGGCCCAAAAGTACCTTGGGAGGTACGCCGCTTTTTCAGCTCACTCACTGCCTGTAAACTGTCAGGGACCCTAGGATCATTAAAAAATATTTTGAGGGCCGGGCGTGGTGGCTCACGCCTGTAATCCCAGCACTTTGGGAGGCTGAGGTGGGTGGATCACTTGAGGTCGGGAGATCGAGACCAGCCTGACCAACATGGAGAAACCCCATCTCTACTAAAAATACAAAATTAGCCAGGCGTGGTGGTGTGTGCCTGTAATCCCAGCTACTCGGGAGGCTGAGGCAGGAGAATCACTTGAACCCAGGAGACAGAGGTTGCAGTGAGCTGAGATCACACCATTGCACTCCACCCTGGGCAACAGGAGCGAAACTCTGTCTCTCTCTCTCTCTCTCTCTCTATCTATATATATATAGATAGAGAGAGAGAGAGAGAGTAGTAAAATACAGATAGCATAACATTTACCATCTTAACCATCTTTAGGTGTACAACTCACTGGATATTAAGTATAGTCACATTGTTGTGCAACCATCACCATCATCCATCTTGAGAACTCTTCATCGTGCAAAACTGAAGTTCTGGATCCACTATGCACTAACTCTCCATTTCCCCCTCCCCCTAGCTCTTAGCAACCACCATTCTGCTTTCTATATGTATGAATTTGACTATGGTATATGTCTCATATAAGCAGAATCATACAGTGTTTACTTTTCGTGACTGGTCTATTTCACTTCACATCATGTCCTCAAGGTTTATCCATTGCAGCATGTATCAGAATTTCCTTCTTTTTAAAGCTGAGTAATATTCTATTGCATGTGTATATCACATCTTGCTTATCCATTCATCTGTTGATAGACACTTGGGTTGCTTCCACCTTTTAGCTATTGAGAATAATGTTGCTATGAAAATGGGTTTGGAAATTTCTCTTCAAGATACACTGCTTTCAGTTCTTTTTTTTTTCTCTCTGAGACAGTCTCACTCTATTGCCCAGGCTGGAGTGCAGTGGCACAATCTCCGCTCACTGCAACCTCCACTTCCTGGGTCCAAGCAATTCTCCTGCCTCAGCCTCCCGAGTAGCTGGGATTACAGGCTCACACCACCGCACCTGATGTGTGTGTGTGTGTGTGTGTGTGTGTGTGTGTGTGTCTGTGTGTGTTTAGTAGGGATGAGGCTTTGCCATGTTTGTCAGGCTGCTCTCAAATTCCTGATCTCAGGTGATCCGCCTGCCTTTGCCTCCCAAAGTGCTGGGATTACAGGAGTGAGCCACCACCCCTGGCTTCAGTTCTTTGGGGTATATAACTAGAAGTAAAATTGCCAGATCATGTGGTAATTCTATTTTTACTTTTTCAAGGAATCACTATGTGTTTTCCATAGCATCTGCACCATTTTTCATTGTTATCAACAATTCACAGGGTTCCAGTTTCCCCCTATCCTTGCCAAAACTTGTTATTCTGTTTTGTTTTATGGTAGTCATCCTAATGGGTATGAAGTGACTAGGATCATTTTGAGACCCAAACAGTCACAGGCTTTTTTGTTGTTGTTGCCCAGGCTGGAGTGCAGTGGTGCAATCATAGTTGACCGCAGCCTCAACCTCCTTGGGCTCAGGTGAACCTCCCACCTCAGGCTCCCAAGGAGCTGGGACTACAGGCACACACCACCACATCCAGCTAATTTTTGTGTATTTTGTAGAGACAGGGTTTTGCCATGTTGACCAGGCTAGTCTTGAATTCCTGGGCTCAAGCAATCCACCTGCCTCCAGCCTCCCAAAGTGCTAGGATTATAGGCACCCAGCTTCATAGGCTTTTTAGCCCAGGCTTGTGATTTCTTTGTCAGTATAATTCTCTGAAAAACTTAGGTTTCTGGCAGGGGGCAGTGGCTCACGCCTGTAATCCCAGCACTTTGGGAGGCCGAGGCGGACGGATCACCTAAGGTTAGAAGTTCGACACCAGCCTGACCAACAGGGTGAAACCCCATCTCTACCAAATACAAAAAATTAGCCAGGCATGGTAGCATATGCCTGTAATCCCAGCTACTTGGGAGGCGGAAGCAGGAGAATCACTTGAACCCAGGAGGTGGAGGTTGCAGTGAGCCAAGATTGTGCCATTGCACTCTAGCCTGGGCAACAAGAGTGAAACTCCATCTCAAAAAAAATCTTAGGTTTCTTATCGATTTGACTGTAGTTAATGGTACTAAAACCATACCCACAATACTTTTCAATATATTGTCCTCAAGTCTGCTTTTTCCCTTTGCTTTCTATCCTAAAGCTGTCACTCTCAATGTAATGGCAATTAGCAAGAATAACAGGTGGCAGAGTTGCACCTCTAAAGTGATCTTGGCTCTGAGAGTTTTTACAGGACATTTTTCACTCAAAGCCTTTTAAAAATCCAATCTCATACTTTAGTTGATTCTAGCCTTGAAGTACTTTAATTGATAAAAAAGAAAGTTCATAAGGTCATTGGGAAGATTAATTATCCCAGCATATAGTAAATGCTCTATAAATGATACCCATCTTTGTCACTTTTTTTTTTTTTTTTGAGACGGAGTCTCACTCTGTCGCCAGGCTGGAGTGGCACAATCTTGTATTACTGCAACCTCCGCCTCCTGGGTTCAAGCAATTCTCCTGCCTCAGCCTCCCAAGCGAGTAGCTGGGACTACAGGCAGCATGCTGCCACTCCCGGCTAATTTTTTTTTTTTTTTTTTTTCAGTAGAGCTGGGGTTTCACCATATTTTCTTTCTTTCTTTCTTTCTTTTCTTTCTTTCTTTCTTTCTCTTTCTTTTCTTTTCTTTTCTTTTTCTTTCTTTCTTTTCTTCTCAGAGTCTCTCTCTGTCACCCAGGCTGGAGTGCAGTGGCATGATCTTGGCTCACTGCAACCTCTACTTCAAGTGATTCTCCTGCCTCAGCCTCAAGAGTAGCTGGGACTACAGGCATGTACCACCATGTCCAGATAATTTTTGTATTTTTAGTAGAGACAGAGTTTCACCACGTTGGCCAGGCTGGTCTCAAACTCCTGACCTCAAGTGATCCACCCACCTCAGCCTCCCAAAGTGCTGGGATCACAGGTGTGAGCCACCATGCCTGGACAAATTTTCCTATTTCTTAATAGATAATCCATCTTGTTTTTCTCAAAAGTAGACAGTTTATCAGGTGTCGTGTCTCTCACCTTCCCACCCTACTCACCTATAAACTAATATAACAATAACAGTAACAATAACCATAATTTGCTGAGTTCTAATTTTGTTCCAGGTACTTTGGATAAGTGTCTTATATGCACATCTCATTTCACTCTTTCAACCCCTCTGAGAGGCAAGTACTTAAATTATCTTCATTTTACAGTCAGGGAAACTGAGGCACAGAGTGTTTAAATCATGTAAGCAGTAAGTAGTGGAGCTAAGATTCAAACGCAGATCTGCTGGACTCCAGAGTTCAACTTACAGACACTACATTGTGGCTCTTCTTGGTGGCCCCCTCCCCTCCTCCCCAGGCTCTCAGAGGATACAGGATCCCTCCTTTGCTAGTCAAGGCCAGCCCATCCCCCTGTATATTTGACTTCATCTCTTCCCACTGCCCCAGGATTTCATCCACCCCTGCTCTGATATCAGGGGCCCCCTCCCCTTCTGTCCATGGTGTGGGGCTTTTTGCACTTCACACACACACACACACAGGTGCACATACATACACACCCCTTCTCCAAACCACTCCACAAAGGGCCCCTGCCTCCTCACTTTCTTGCCTTCCACATCACACCCTAAATTCTCCTGGCCAAGGTTCCCACTGACCTCCTTGTTGCCAAACCTAAGTCCTGTTGTCCCGCTGTGTGTCTCTTATGCACTTGGCAAGGCTGAGCAGGTCCTTCTTGGAAATGTGTTTCTTTGGTTTCTATGACACAATGCACCCCCACTCCAAAACACACATACACACATCCCAGATTCTTGCCCCCACCCACCACCACCCGCTATCTCTCTAGATGCTTCTGTGGTTCTTTCTCCTCCTCTGACCTCTTCAAATGTAGTATGGTGGTTTTAAAACATGTCCATAATTTTTTTTTTTTTTTTTGAGATAGAGTCTCACTTTGTTGCCCGAGCTGGATACAGTGGTGCGATCAGGTGCGTGCCACCATGCTCAGCTAATTTTTTTTAACTTTTAAGTTTTTTGGAGAGATAGGGGCTCCCTGTGTTGACCAAGCTGGTCTCGAGCTCCTGGGCTCAAGCGATCCTCCCATCTTGGCCTCCCAAAGTGCTAGGATTACAGACTTCAGCCATCGTGCCCAACCATGTCTATAAATTCTTTAAGACTCCTCCCACTGAGTAACAGAGTCTGTTTCTTCCCCTTGAATCTGAGCCAAACTTAGTGACTCAGACTACAGTAGAAATGATTCTATGGTGACTTGTGAGGCTGGGTCATAAAGGCAATGTGGCCTGACTCATGGGAGTCCTGAGCTACAGTGTAAGAGGTGTCAACACTCTCAGCTGCCATGCTGTGAGGAAGCCCAACTGGCTCATGCAGAGAGACAACATGGAGAGGCCTTGAGGCTATATGAAGAGAGATGCTTGGCCAGCTCCCAGCTGCTCCAGCTCCCCAGTGCTCCGGCTTCCACTGTAACCACAAAAGAGACACCAAGGCAGAACCACCCAGATGAGCCCTTCCCAAATTCCTGACCCACAGAAATTGTGAAAGATGATAAAAATCATTGGATTTGGAGTGGTCTGTTATGCAGCCATAGACAGCCAAACAGAGGCATCTTAATCTGCTTGGGCTACTATAACAATTTAGCATGGAGCAGGTGGCTTGACAACACACATTTATTCCTCAGGTCTGCAGGGTGAAGAGTCTAAGATCAAGGTGCTGGCAAATTCCATTCTGCTGGCAACCAAGGGCCTGACTTCTGGTGTACAGACGACCATCCTATTGTAGCCCCAAATGGCACAGAGAAGAAGCAAGCTCTCAAGTCTCCTCTTATCAGGCTGTAATCCCTCCCAAAGGCCCACTTCCAAATAACATCACCTTAGGACTTCAACATATGAATATGAGGGAGATACAAACATTCAGTCTGCAGCAGAGGGCTTCGTTAGAGCTCTGACCTGAGCACGCTTCATCTCAATGTCATTGTTTTTGCCAGCTCTACATCCACTGCCCTTTTTTTTTTTTTTTTTTTTTTTTTTTTTTTTTGAGACAGAGTCTCACTCTTATCACCCAGGCTACGGTGCAGTGGCACGATCTTGGCTCACTGCAACCTCCGCCTCCCAGCTTCAAGTGATTCTCCTGCCTCAGCCTCCGGAGTAGCTGGGACTACAGGTGCATGCCACCACACCCGGCTGATTTTTGTATTTTTAGTAGAGACAGGGTTTCACCATGTTGGTCAGGCTGGTCTCAAACTCCTGACCTTGTGATCCACCTGCCTCAGCCTCCCAAAGTGCTGGGATTACAGGCATGAGCCACTGGGCCTGGCCCCACTGCCCTTTCTTACAGTAACAGTATTTCAATTTCCCTTTAGGGAAGCTCTTCAAGCAGGTTCTCAGTCCAAGAGGTTTCTCTGGGTTAAGCACTGCCAGCCACCCAAAGGGTGAGCAAGTAACCAGCCAATCAGAGACACTCCAGTGGGTTCAGTAAATGACATATTATCTAACTGGGGTGAGGGGAATCAACATCAGGGCTTTTCCTGAGACTATAAGGAGAAACAGATTCTTTTCCCAGCAGTTAAATTTGAAGTCTGTGGCCATTTTGCTACCATATAGGGAAAATCTGCCTGACATTGAAGCCAACACAGATGAGGGAAGAGCCAAGAGATAAAGAGAAAGATCCTGAGCATCTGGATACAGCCATGCCTGAAGCCAGTATCCCTTGACTTCTCAATTATGTGAGCCTTTATATTCCCTTTGTTTAAAGCCAGTTCAAGTTTAAAACTGCCATTTCCAGTGAGAACAATTCCCTATGTTGTATCTAAGGCCAAGACCTTGCCCCTGACTCTAGGCCAGAATGTCCTGTACAGTGCCATTCAACTCTGCCAAAAGCAAAGGGCATCAACTTCTCCACAACCTGGCTTTCCCTCATCTATTTTACATCTCTGTTAATGGGAGCATCACCCACCTGACCTATAAACATAAAAGTCAGCCTCTATCCTCTCTGTCTCTCTCCCTCTCTCTGTCTCTCTCTCTCTCTCTCAATCCCTGTCACTTCCCTTACTTCTTAGTAACCAAGTTCTGCCAACTTAACTTTATGGACATTTTTCACACCTGCACCCTCCTTTCCATTTTTCCTGCCCACTCCAATTCTTCATCATTTCTCACCTAAATTTTTACAAAATCAATAGATAACTAACATAGAGGTGTATAGTAAAAAGTGAATTTCGGCCGGGCACAGTGGCTCATGCCTGTAATCCCAGCACTTTGGGAGGCCGAGGCAGGCAGATCATGAGGTCAGGAGATAGAGACCATCCTGGCCAACATGGTGAAACCTCATCTGTACTAAAAATACAAAAAAAAATTAGCTGGGCATGGTGGCATGTGCTTGTAGTCCCAGCTACTGGGGAGGCTGAGGCAGGAGAATCGCTTGAACCCGGGAGGCGGAGGTTGCAGTGAGCTGAGATCGCACCACTGCCCTCCAGCCTGGTGACAGAGCGAGACTCCATCTCAAAAAAAAAAAAAAAAAGTGAATTTCATTCCCACCCTTGCCATCAGTTACCCTCCCCCAAGGCATCTACTGTTACCTCTTTCTTGTCTATTTTCCCAGAAGTTCTCTATATGTGCCATCTTTTTGAGAATTTCAAATGGAGGCATACTATCAAGACTTTTCAGAACACTGCATCCTTCTTCACTTGAAGTGTGATTAATATAAATAATTATAGACTAATTTCTTCTTTCTAATGGATGCATAGTATTCCACAAAGACATATAATGTACATAACTCGTCTTCCATTGATGGATATTTAAGTGGTGTCCCAGTTATCTGTTAGCACAGAACAAAACCCCCCAAACCTAGTGGTATAACACAATAACCACTTGAATATGCTTGTGGGTTCTGTGTGTCAGGAATTCAGGCAGGACACAGTGAGGCCAGCTTGTTTCTACTCTGCAATGTTTGAGTCTTCAGCTAGGAAGATTTGAAGATTTGAAGGCTGAAGCTGATTCAAATGGCTGGCCACTGGAATCATCTTGTTCTTCCCCTTCCCCTTCGCCTTCTACAGTGCAATGGCATGATGTCGGCTCACTGCAACCTCTGCCTCCCGGGTTCAAGCAATTCTCCTGCCTCATCCTCCCTAGTAGCTGGGATTACAGGTGCACGCCACCATGCCCGGCTATTTTTGTATTTTTAGTAGAGACGGGGTTTTGCCATGTGGCCAGGCTGGTCTCGAACTCCTGAACTCAGGGTATCCACCCGCCTTGGCCTCCCAAAGTGCTGGGATTACAGGTGTGAGCCACCGTGCCTGGCCTCATCTGGTTCTTCTTCACTCACTTCTTTTATGCTTGAACTGGGATGACTCAAAGCTAAGCTTAGCTGGGACTGTGGTGCCTTCATGTGTCCTCTCCTGATGGTCTTGGCATCCTGACAGCATGGCAGCCTCTAAGCAGACATGGAGCCCTAGGTAGGCATGGTGCCTCAGGCTCCAAGAGCTAGAGTTCTAGCAGAAGTTGCCTGTACTTTTATGTCTGGACCTTAGAAGTCAGAGTGTTACTTCCACCGTACTCCATTGGTTGAAGCAGTCATCAGCTCACCCAAGATTCAGAGAGGGTACAAGGATCCCACCTCTCTACAGAGGAGTGCTAAAGAATTTGTAGCTATATTTTAAAACCACCACAGGTTGTTTCCAATCTGTAGCTATTCCTGTAGTTCATTTTACAGGCTAACATCTCTTGAATGTCTTCATTTCTCTGCACCAGGCCAAGACACTGTCATCTCTGATCTCTTTGCTGATCTCTTGCTGTCACTCTTGTGCTCAACATGCTGTTCTCTTGACAGCAGCCAGAGGTCTTTTCAGAATGAAAATCAGATCACATCCCACCCCTCTTCATAACCCTTCCATGGCTCCCCACTACCCTTGGGCTGAAGCTCAAACTCCTTACCTTGGCTTATGAGGCCCCACAAGGTCTCACTTCTGCCTGCCTCTCCAATGCCATCTCCTGTCACCATTTGGGGCCTTTAGTTTTGAGCTGCAAGAGTTCCTCCCATCACACACACACACATACACACACACACACACACTTAAATGAGTAAGTAAATAGAACATACAAAACGCTTAAACACTTTGCACATAGTGAGCATAATAAGTTTGCTACTATTATTAGACTGTCTTCAGTAAATATTTACTGGGCTGCCTACTCAGTGCCAAGCACTATGGGAGGCTCACAGATACAACACGAACAAGAAATATGTGGCCTTGGCCAGACGCGGTGGCTCACGCTTACAATCCCAGCACTTTGGGAGGCCGAGGCAGGTGGATCACTTGAGCTCAGGAGTTCAAGACCAGCCTGGGCATCATGGCAAAACCCTGTCTCTATTAAAAATACAAAAAATTAGCTAGGCATGGTAGTGCGTGCCTGTAGTCCCAGCTCCTCAGGCGACTGAGGTGGGAGGATCACCTGAGCCTTGGGAGATCGAGGCTGCAGTGAGCCGTGATCATGCCACCGCACTCCAGCCTGGACAACAGAGTGAGACGCTGTCTCAAAAAAATAAAAATTAAAAAAAAAGAAAAAGAAAAACTAAAAAGGAAGATGTGGCCCTATCTTGCCGAGCTCATTCTTCTGTGTGTCCCCAGCCCCTAGCACAAGGAGAAACAGAATAGATGCTCAAGACACAAAGGCATGTCTGTGCAAGGGTGCTTGATGACGGTTGGAGGGGCACAATGACTTTCCCAAGATCACACAGCAAATGTGGGACAAAATCAAGGCTGACAGCTCATGACAGGGTGGGAGGCAGATGCAGCTGCCTGGCACAGGCTGGCTCTCCAGGGAGATGGGCAGTGGGCACGCATTGCCCAGGGCAGAACTGGGGCTAGGGGAGGAAACAACAAGGGAGGCTGTCATTAGCTCCTTCCAAAGTGGAGGTCACTTCTCTCCCAACCCCGAGTCCTCCACCCAAACTCCCTTCTCAAGGTACAAGGGCTGATCCCGTACCAGGGATGGGTAGGGACTCAAAGAGGAAAAGAGGATGAAAAGAGGATGGGGACTGAGTGAGATGTGAGGACTCCAGAGGGATTAGCGGCTCTCAAGGCAAGTGGGAGGGGACTTCCCGGTAGGAGCCCGGAGACAGATGGGAGCCTGTGAAGAGGGCGGGGGCCCGGCGAGGAGAAGCGGTTTCTACGCTGGGGTGGGGCTCCATGAGGGGGATGGAGACCTGGAAAAGGGACTGACGGTGCAGCGAGGAGAGGAAGGCTCGGTTAAGGGATGGGTCTTCCACGGGAGGGGTGGGGAACTGCGGGAGTGACGGCAGCTTCGGTGAGGAGTCTGAGGGGCTGCGTGAGGGGCTGGGGCCCAGGGAGTCCGAGGGGTCTCTGTGAGGGCGCTGGGGTGTCCGAGCGAGCAGGGAACTCTGGAAGGGGACAGGAGCCGGGGGAGCTGCAGGCGGCCGCCGTCTGCAGAGCCAGGCCCTGAGGCGGGCCGGCGCCCCCTCCCCCGCCCCGAACTGCGGCGCAGGCGCGAACCGGACCCGCCTTTGCTCGGCGGAGACAGCAGGCAGAGAGGTGAGCTTAGCCCTGCCCCACGCGCGGCCAGGCCCCAGCCCCAGCCCCTGGAGAACCCCCGCGCTCTGCCCGCATCCTCAGCCCGGGCCGTGTCCCGCCAGGGCCGGGACCTTTGCGCCTGAGCCTCGGCTTTGGGAGGTGGGGGTCCCAGGGAAGCAGCAGGGGCGGGAGACAGAAACAGCCCCATCGCCCCTCGACGCCTCAGGGTTGATAGGCTGGGTAGAGGCTTCAAAGGACACCCCCACCCCCGCCAACACTTCAAAAACCCATTCCTACCCCTCTCTGCCTCAGTTTCTCTCTAGGGAAAAGGACGCAGTTGGTGTGGAGCAGGGCATCGGTGGTCCTGTCAGGAAGAGTGGCGCGGGTGCCGGTGGGGAAGGGAGGCGGGAAATGGCCTGATTTCCCCGGCCGACACCCCCTACCCATCCCCCCCGGGAGGGCGCCCCTTCTCCCCCGCCCGGGCAGCGCTGGACGCTGTAGTGGGCGAGTCTGAGGGTCTGGGAAGGACACAACTGAATGAGGCTGTGCAGAGGCGACAGATTCCGTCCATCTTCGGGCCCTGGCTTCCGTCACTTCCGCCCGTGCCTGCCGCCCCTCGCCTCCTCCCTCCGCCGCAGTCTCCCCACGTCGGACAGCGCAGCCCCCTCCGCCTCCCGCTCCCCTCCCACCGAGCTCCTCCCGGCTCCCGGGCTGGGGACGCCTCCCTAGCGGTTCCCATGGCAACCCTCGTCCCGGGTGCCTGCGCCCCGCCCCCCGCCCGCCAGACCTACTCCGTGCAGCCCTGAAACGCCAGGCGGAGGGGCCAGGCCGAGCGGGAGGCAGCGTCAAGGTCACCTTCCCTCTCCAGTAGCAGCAGGACTGAGTGATTCCATCTATTTGGAGTCGCGGAAGCGGTGAATTGGAGGGGAGGAGCTGACCCAGGTCAACAGCCCCGAAGCCCCCTCCACACCTCCTCACCTGTGGCCTTGAACAGTGGTCTCCGCACGGAGGCTCCTACCGTCCCCCAGGCCCCATTTCTTCTCCCCACCCGGGCCTCCCCAGCGCCTCGCCGGGGCGGGTACCGCGCTGGCCGCACCCTCCGCACAGCCCGCCCCGCCCGCCTCCTCCGGCGAGCCCTCCTCTCCAGACCTCTCGCCCTCCTCCTCCGACGGTCCTTCGCTTTCAGTCTCTGCCTTTTCCCGTTCTCTGTCGTGGCTTTTGTTGTTGTTGTTTTTCCTCCTTTCCTTCCCCGCTCTTCTTTTCCCTGAATTGTAAGTGAGGAGGGTGTACAGCCACTATTTATGGACAGGCTTTCTTGACAGCAATCTTGTGTGCCGTGTGACTCCAAGCAGAACCTCCAACCGTGTGTGTGTGTGTGTGTGTGTGTGTGTGTGTGTGTGTGTGTGTCGTACCTATCTGGGTATGTCTCTGTATGCTTTGTGAGTATGTCTGTGTGTTTCTCTGTGCTGTTTCGGTGAGTTTCTCTATGCAGGGATTTGAGGACCACATCTGATTGGAAGTGAGGGGCAGCTGTCAGGACCTTTATCTTACCCTTTGGAACAAGCACATTGTTTCATTTTGCAGGAGGCTGCTAATTAAGGCTGAGGGCCATCATGGAGACTGGGGTAGAAGCCCAGTCCTCCCCCAACACCTCCTGGCTTTGGTTCGGGCCAAACCTGTATATGGATATACAAGTACCTTCCATTCCCAAGATCCGTGTCCACTTTTGTGGAAAAAAAAAAAAAGGTTATTTGATAGGTTTCTCTGGAAATCTAACAGCCCTTAAGCCTAAGAGTCTTTAATCCTGAGGGACCCTGACTTTCACTTCCAATGGAGTCAAAATTCATTGGAATCTGGAGGCTTTCAGGGGCAGTCCTGGGGAGGACCTTTTTATAGCCTTGCAGCTTGGGAACTCCAGCCCAAGTGTCAGCCATGACAATTACCCCCAGGAGGGGGTCTGAAGGGGAGCGGAGGGTGAGGCTCTCTCATTCCAGATATGGAGACTAAAAAGTTCAAGATGGAAGTAATAGCAAAAAAATTACAGTACTAATCACAACAGCTACCATTTCTCAGCATTAGACACAGTAACTGTATGAAAGAAGTATGATTATTAGGTCTGTTTTACAGATGAGGAAACTGAGACCCAGAAAGGTGGAAGCACTTGTCTAAGGTCACGCCTCCAGGAAGCAGTGTGTCCACGACTCCAGTCCAAGTGGTCAGGCTCCAGAGCCCACAGTCCCAGGTACTGGGTGGCCTCCAGAGTAAACATGCACATTTATTGACACCTCCAATTGCCAGGCACTGGGCTAAGGCCTTCAGTGCATTGGCTCATTCGCAGTGTGCTTTGGGAAGGACAGGCTGGGATTCCAAAAGGCCAGACTGTGCTATGCGTGTAGGGTGTCTCGAGTGGGAGGAGAAGCGGGTGGGGCACAAAGATTTAGGGGGCTTATGAAGGTCACCATGAGCAGCTCCCACTAATCCCTCCCTCCGTCAGCTGCACCTTACCTGCTCCCCAGGGGTCCATGATGCCGAGCTGCAATCGTTCCTGCAGCTGCAGCCGCGGCCCCAGCGTGGAGGATGGCAAGTGGTATGGGGTCCGCTCCTACCTGCACCTCTTCTATGAGGACTGTGCAGGCACTGCTCTCAGCGACGACCCTGAGGGACCTCCGGTCCTGTGCCCCCGCCGGCCCTGGCCCTCACTGTGTTGGAAGGTAAGGCCAGATGAGCACCTCCCATGATTCCTCTGCCTTGATGGAGGAAATGAGTCTGAATTTGAGGCTCAGAGGAAAAAAGAAGAGATAGCGTAGTAGTTAGGAGTCTTGCACAGTCAAGCAACAGAAAACCCAATTCAAATGGGTTTAAATAATGAAGGGAGCCTTCATTGTATTTGTATTTACATACAAATTATTTACATAATTATTTACATATTTATTGTATGTAAATAATGGTGGCTCATGCCTGTAATCCCAGCACTTTGGGAGGCTGAGGTGGGCAGATCACCTGAGGTCTGGAGTTCAACACCTGCTCTGTCAGCATGGCGAAACCCTTTCTCTACTAAAAATACAAAAATGGACCGGGTGCGGTAGTTCACGCCTGTAATCCCAGCACTTTGGTAGGCGGAGGCTGAGGCTGGTGGATCTCGAGGTCAGGAGTTGGAGACCAGCCTGGCCAACATAGTGAAACCCTGTCTGTACTAAAAATACAAAAATTAGCTGGGTGTGGTGGCGGGCGCCTGTAATCCCGGCTACTCGGGAGGCTGAGGCAGGAGAATCACTTGAAACCAAAAGGTGGAGGTTGCAGTGAGCTGAGATCAATCCATTGCACTCCAGCCTGGGTGAAAGAGCGAAACTCCCTCTAAAAAAAAAAAAAAAAAAAAATGAGCCGGGCGTGGTGGCAGGCGCCTGTAATCCCAGTTACTTAGGAGGCTGAGGCAGGAGAATTGCTTGAACCCAGGAGGCAGAGGTTGCAGTGAGCCAAGTTTGCACCATTGCACTCCAGCTGGGCGACAGAACAAGACTCTGTCTCAAAAAAAAAAAAAAAAAAAAAAAAAAAAAAGAAAAAAGAAGGGAAAATGTTGCTCATTTTTTAGAAGAGACCCAAGGTCCAAGGTTGCATACTTTCAGGCAAAGTTTGATCCAGCAGTTCAACCCTTTATACCAAGGACTTTGCAAGTTTTCTTAGTCTTCAGCCTCCTCATGGTGCCCCTACCCTGGTAGCCTGTTAGCTTCAGACTCTCCCCACATGTTCCCCAAATGGCCACTACTGTGTGGACTCTCAGGTCTTCACTCCACACCATCTAAGGGAAGTCAGCATTTCCTGTGGTATTTCCTTCAGAAAAGAAAATAGCCTGTAATCCCATCATTTTGGGAGGCCAAGGTGGGTGGATCACCTGAGGTCAGGAGTTCGAGACCAGCTTAGCCAACGTGGTGAAACCTCATCTCTACTAGAAATACAAAAATTAGCTGGGTGTGGTGATGGGCGCCTATAATCCCAGCTACTCTGGAGGCTGAGGCAGGATAATCACTAGAACCCGGGAGACAGCAGTTGCAGTGAGCAGAGATCGTGCCGTTGCACTCCAGCCTGCACAACAAGAGTGAAACTCTGTCTTAAAAAAACAAACAAACAAAAAATGGCCACAGGTACTGGCTTACACCTGTAATCCCAGCACTTTGAGAGGCTGAAGCAGGAGGATTGCTTGAGCCCAGGAATTCAAGATCAGCCTGGGCAACATAGTGAGACTTCATCTCTACTAAAAATAAAAAATTAGCTGGATGTAGTGGCGCGGGCCTGTGATGCCTACTACTCAAGAGGCTGAGCCAGGAGGATCGTTTGAGCCCAGGAGGTTGAAGCTGCAGTGAGCCATGATTGTGCCACTGCACTCCAGCCTGGGCAACAGAGTGAGACTCTGTCAAGAAAAGAAAAGAGAGAAGAAAGGAAGAGAGAAAGCAAAATAGTAAGATATTAAAAACATGTTACCATTTACCTTAGCACCAAAGAAGAGAGAAATACTTAGGTGTAAATCTAACAAAATATCTGTAATATGAGAAGAACTACAAAACTCAAAAGATATCAAATAACTAAATAAATGGAGAAATAGTTCATATTCGTGGATTGGAATAGTCAAGATGTTAGTTCTTCCCAACCTGATCTTTGATTCAATGCAATGCCAATCAAAACCCCAGCACGTTATTTTGTGGACGTCAAAATGTCACCTCCTCAGGGAGGAGATCCCTGGACTGAGTCGGGTCCCTTGCTTTACTCTGGGCAAACTCTGTGCCCATTCATTCTTCAATACACTTACCACTTTGCACACTTGTAGTTTATATGGAGAGGTAAAAGATTCAGAAATTTAAAAATCATTTATAAGAAACAATGCTTTTAATTCCCAGAAGTCCTGACAAGCATTGTGTTGGCTCTCATTGGGTCACTTGCCAGCCTTGAACTAATTACTATGGTTAAGAGATGGACTATGCTGACTGGCAGGAAGTGAGGTTCATCTCACTTAAATCTTACTGTGGTTTCTCAATGGTAGACTGGAGTACCTTGCCAGGGCAGAGAAAAAATGTGAAGAATTGATGTCTTTAACAGCCAAGGAGACTAGTCGGCCAGGGTGCACCAATGGGTCAAGGTGTAGAGGTGGCAATGAGCTGAGTGCCTGCTATGGGCATAGCTCTTTGCTAAATATTCTCGGGAGACTGAGGCAGAGGGTCCCTTCTTTTGCTTTCAAAGGACTTCACTCTAGTGAGGAGGTAAGGTGCCAACCTCTGCAGAGAGGCCAACTTACATAACTTCAGGTCAGGTCTGTAGGGAACACCAGGAGAGGAAATGATCAAGGAAGACTTCCAAGGAAAGGTTAGTGTGTATTTAAAATTTTTAAGCATCTTCTTATTGCGAGGCACTGTGCTAGGCTCTTGGGAACACAGAATTTAAGACATGAGGTCCCTGTCTTCGAGGAACTCTTTTAGCTGTGGTTTATTTAATCATTCAGCAAACATTTATTCAGCCTTTGCTCTGTGCCGGCACGTGCTAGGCACAGAAGACTCCTAGTGAGCCAAAACAGGCACAGTCTGCTCTCATGGAGCTCTCAGTACTGCGGGAGAGGCAGACGTCACTTACATAGCAACCAAAATACATGTCCAAGTGTGCACAATGGTAAGTGTATTGAAGAATGAATGGGCACAGTTTGCCCAGAGTAAAGCAAGAGACCTGACTCAGTCCAGGGGTCTTCTCCCTGAGGAGGTGAGGTTTGAGATGAGATCTGATGGTGCATAGGAGTTAACCCAACAGAGACAGGAAGGTAGAAAGGATAAAGAGATGAGTTGGGATGGAGGGAAACACAGGGTTGGCCGGAGAAACCCACTGCTAGGTGGGAGCTGGGAAGGAAATTAAGAGGCCTCAGGATTCCAAATAAAACATGACAGTTTATGCCTCCTGTCAGTTAGACCCCAGCAAGTGTGTTCTGTGATTCCCATCTCCTGAGGATGGATCAAGGGGTTACCCTTAAGTCTGGTGAGGATCCAAGGTGATCCCTTGGCCAGGGGCCCCTGGCTGACCCTGACTGCTTCCTGGTCTGTCTGCTTCTCCCTAGATCAGCCTGTCCTCGGGGACCCTGCTTCTGCTGCTGGGTGTGGCGGCTCTGACCACTGGCTATGCAGTGCCCCCCAAGCTGGAGGGCATCGGTGAGGGTGAGTTCCTGGTGTTGGATCAGCGGGCAGCCGACTACAACCAGGCCCTGGGCACCTGTCGCCTGGCAGGCACAGCGCTCTGTGTGGCAGCTGGAGTTCTGCTCGCCATCTGCCTCTTCTGGGCCATGATAGGCTGGCTGAGCCAGGACACCAAGGCAGAGCCCTTGGACCCCGAAGCCGACAGCCACGTGGAGGTCTTCGGGGATGAGCCAGAGCAGCAGTTGTCACCCATTTTCCGCAATGCCAGTGGCCAGTCATGGTTCTCGCCACCCGCCAGCCCCTTTGGGCAATCTTCTGTGCAGACTATCCAGCCCAAGAGGGACTCCTGAGCTGCCCACATGGCCTAAGATGTGGGTCCTGGATCCTTCCCCCCTTCTCACCATAACCCCCTCTCAGTGTTTCCCCAACTTCTCCCTTTTAGCAGGGTCCCTTTAGAGCCCAACTCCAGGTCAAATCTGGAGCTCAAATCCCAGTGCTCCCTCCCCAGGAGTGGGGCCCCAACTCTTCCAAGATACCAGCATTCCTCAAGTCCTCCCAAAACTTCCTACCCACACCCTCTTCCCAAGGCCCTCAGGGGCAGAAAACATCTCCTTCAACCCGTCCCCACTCCTTCCTCTGCATGACCTTGGGCAAACCCTTGCCCTTTCAAGCCATCAGCTCCTGCCTCTCTGCCATGAGGGCTTTGGATCAGATTCCTCTTCTCGCCAGGATGAGGACACGCACTGCCCTCCATAGACACAGATGAAGGGGTGGGGGTCATTCAGCTCGAATGGGTCCCAGATGCTCACTTGGCCTTTCCCTGCAGGATGAGTGAAGACGTTTGCCTCTCACAGTGTGTCTTCTACCTGCATTTTGGCATCAGAGCCCCCCAGCCCACCCACCACAGGCAATTACTAGCCCTAGTTGATAGGTGAGGTGGGTGAAGAAGGCTGGAGGTGACATGTCCGAGGTCACACAACAAAGCAGCATGCAGGAACTAGAAACACATCTTCAGCCTCCTCCTGGGCCAGCTCTTGTGCTACAGGTGGGGCGGAGCCAGCCCCTCACCTTCCTGGTTCCCTGAGGGTCCTCAGGGTGGAGGACAGGTTTGGCCCAGAAAGACTAGCCAGAGGCCTGATGGTCCCAGGTGGCTCTGGATATACTTTGGATATGGATTTAAATGGTCTCTAAGAGCCGGGGGTAGGGGGCAGGAAAAGTGGGTTGTCTTTGCCCCTCAAAGTCCACCTACCTAGAAACCAAGCCCACGGTCTTGGCCGTGACCCTGATAATAAATGGGCTCTCTCAGAGGCGCCAGCCCCTCCCTCCCCAGCCGGAGGCGTCATCTCTCTTCTGTACCACTAGAGGGAGCTCTGATGCAGCTGGAGAGCAGCGCTCAAGGCTCTCGCCCCTCCCCTCCCTAACCCTTACCTTCAGTCTCCACCAGCCTGAAGGGCCTCCTAGGGGATCCTCAGGCGGCCCCCACCAGGGCACACCCTACTGTCCTTGTGCCTCACGCCCCCTCCTCATCCTGCACCCCTTCCATCCCACCTTCCCTTTCAATAAACAGCTGGGATGGATACTGACTTTGTTTCCTTTCTCCCTGGCCACTGGGGCGTGGGGAGGAGAAAGACACAGACTCAGGAGCACCTACTGTGTGCTGGGCACGACCCATTATTTCTCATTCGCTCCTCAGGATAACCTGTTGAGAAAGGAATTATTGTCTTCTTTTTTTTTTTTTTAAGATGTTGTCTCGCTCTGTCGCCCAGGCTGGAATGCAGTGGGGCGATCTTGGCTCACTGCAACCTCTGCCTCCTGGGTTCAACCAATTCTCCTGCCTCAGCCTCCCAAGTAGCTGATATTACAGGTGCACGCCACCACGCCTGGCTAATTTTTGTATTTATAGTGGAGACGGGGTTTTACCATGTTGGCCAGGCTGGTCTTGAACTCCTGACCTCAAATGATCCGCCTGCCTCGGCCTCCCAAAGTGCTGGGATTACCGGGTGAGCCACCTTACCCAGACTTATTGTCTTCATTTTACAGATGCGGTAACTGATGATCAGAGAGGTGAGTGATTTATTTTTTATTTTTATTTTTAATTCTTTTTTATTTTTTTCGAGACGGAGTCTGGCTCTGTCACCCAGGCTGGAGTGCAGTGGCACGAGCTCAGCTCACTGCAAGCTCCGCCTCCCGGGTTCATGCCAGTCTCCTGCCTCAGCCTCCCAAGTAGCTGGGACTATGAGTAGCTGGGACTACAGGTGCCTGCCAACACACCCAGCTAATTTTTTGTATTTTTAGTAGAGACAGAGTTTCACCATGTTAGCCAGCATGGTCTCAAATCTCCTGACCTCGTGATCCGCCCGCCTCGGCCTCCCAAAGTGCTGGGATTACAGGCGTGAGCCACCGCGCCCGGCCTATTTTTAATTCTTTTTATTTCAGTAGCCTTTGGGGTCAAAGTGGGTTTTGGTTACATGAATTAGTTCTATAGTGATTCTGAGATTTTAGTACACCTATCACCTGAGCAGTGTATACTGTACCCAATACGCAGTTTTTTATCCCTCATCCCCTCCCAACCTCCCTGGACTCAGTCCCCAAAGTTCGTTATATCACTCTGTATGCCTATGCATCCTCATAGCTTAGCTTCCGCTTATATAAGTGAGAACCTACCGTATCTGGATTTCCGTTCCTGAGTTACTTCACTTAGGATAATGGCCTCCAGCTCCACCCAAGTCCTGCAGTGGATTTAAATGCTCAGCCTAGGGCCTGGAGGGGTGGCTGGGCCAGGCGAGGTGGCTCACGCCTGTAATCCCAGGACTTTGGGAGGCCGAGGTGGGTGGATCACCTGAGGTCAGGAGTTCAAGACCAGCCTGGCCAACATGGTAAAACCCCATAACTACTAAAAATACAAAAATTAGCTGAGCATGGTGGTGCATGCCTGTAATCCCAGCTACTCGGGAGACTGAGGCAGGAGAATTGCTTGAACCCGGGTGGTGGAGGTTGCAGTGAACCAAGTTCACACCATTGCACTCCAGCCTGGGCAACAGAGCAAGCCTCTGTCTCAAAAAAAAAAAAAAAAAGTGCTTAGCCTGATTGGCCTATTGCCTGAGTGTGGAGCTCCTGTCTTTGGGTGGGAAGGAGATTTCTCAGCCACCTTGAGAACACACTTCCTCTAGTTCTGAAAGGAATGTGAGGGCCAGGGTGTGGGAGAGGGGGCTGAAGCCAAAGGTAAGATCTTTTCCAGGCCTGGAAGAGTAATTAACCCCTTTTGGCACTCACCAGGGGCTGGGCCTTGTTCTTAGTGCCTTACAGAATTCGGGAATTCATTTAACCAGGACGACAACCTCTGAGGTGGCGGCTATTATTCTCAAACCTAGTTTTTCCTAAACTCCAGGCTTGCGTTCCCATCTGCATTCACCTGGATGTTGAATTTAAACTCAACTATCTCAAACTGTTCTCCTTGTTACCACCCCTCCCTGACCAAACCTGCCTCTACTATGCTGCCCACGTCTTAGAGAGTAGCGTCCCCATTCTTCTGGCTGCTCCAGCCAAAACCTCCTCTCTTTCCTCACACCCTGTATCCAATCCATCAGCAAGTCCTGTCAACTCAACCTTGGAAATATATCCTGTACCCAACTACACCTCGACATCCCCGTGGCTGATTCCATGGTCTGAACCACCAGCGACCAGCGCCTCGATCTGGATCATTGCACCAGCTTCCCCCGGTCTCCTGGCTTCTGAGTTTTGAACCCCACCCTACTCCACGCCTTGACTCCCCAAGTCTAATTACTACACAGTAGCCAGACAGATCTTGTTAGAACATAAACTAGGTCATGTTCCTCCTCCGCTCCAAACCTTCCCATGGCTCCCACCTAACTCAGAGTAGCCAAAACCCTCCCTGTGGCCTCCAAGGCCCTACACAATTTGCTGATTTCCACTCCCCCCGCACTTTCCTCTGTAACCCCAACTCCCACCACTCTCCAGGTTCCTGTGTCCTCTCCAGCCAGGATCCTGACTCAGGGCCTTTGCCTCACTGTTCCCTCTGCTGGGGTACTCCTCCCCAGTTGACGACATGGGCAGTTCCTTCAAGTCGTTGCTCAAACATCACCTTCTCAGCAAGGCCTTCCCTGAGCAGCCTATTAGAATTGCAACCAGGCCAGGCGCAGTGGCTCAAGCCAGTAATCCCAGCACTTTGGGAGGCCGAAGCAGGTGGATCTCCTAAGGTTGGGAGTTCGAGACCAGCCTGACCAACATGGAGAAACCCCGTCTCTACTAAAAATACAAAATCACCCAGGCATGGTGGCACATGCCTGTAATCCCAGCTACTCGGGAGGCTGAGGCAGGAGAATCACTTGAACCTGGGAGGCGGAGATTGTGGTGAGCTGAGATCGCACCATTGCACTCCAGCCTGGGCAACAAGAGCGAAACCCCATCTCAAAAACAGGAAAAACAAAAAACAAAAAAATGCAACCATGCCGGCCAGGTGGAGTGGCTCACACCTGTAATCCCAGCACTTTGGGAGGCCAACGTGGGCAGATCACCTGAGGTCAGGAGTTGGAGACCAGCCTGGGCAACATGGTGAAACCCTATCTCTACTGAAAATACAAAAATTACCCAGGCATGGTGGCACGTGTCTGTAATCCCAGCTACTTGAGAGGCTGAGGCATGACAATCACTTGAACTCGGGAGGTGGAGGTTGCAGTGAGCCAAGATCGCGCCATTGCATTCCAGCTTGGGCGACAGAGCGAAACTCCATCTCAAAAAAATAAAAGGAAGCTAACACAGAGTATAAATGGTGCAGGCAGTTTGACAATATCAAAATAGAAAATACACATGCCCTTTGATTTCTCCCTCTTATGCAGGTGGATCTATAGATTCAACTCTACATGTTGGAACACTATAGTATTATTTGTAATTAAAGCATTTGGAAACAACCTAAATGCTCATGGTAGGGGACTATTAATAAAATACGGTAAGGCTGAGTGCAGTGGCTCACGCCTGTCATCCCAGTACTTTGGGAGGCCAACGCAGGAGGATCACTTGAGGCCAGGAGTTCAAGACCAACCTGGGCAACATAGGGCAACATAGCAAGGCCCCATCTCTACAAAAAATTAAAAATTAGCTGGGCATGGTGGCACACGCCTGTAGTCTCAGCTATTAATATTTGGGAGGCTGAGGCAGGAGGATCACACCACTGCACTTTAGCCTGAATACTGAGTAACAAAGCAAAACCCTGTCTCTCTTAAAAAAAAAATTGGGGGGAAGGACAAGTCTTTTTTCTTTTCTTTTCTTTTCTTTTCTTTTTTTTTTTTTTTTTGAGATGGAATTTCACTCTTGTTGCCCAGGCTGGAGTGCAATGGTGTGATCTCGGCTCACGGCAACCTCCGCCTCCTGGGTTCAAGCAATTCTGCTTCAGCCTCCCGAGTGGCTGGGATTATAGTCATGCGCCACCACACCTGGCTAATTTTGTATTTTAGGTAGAGACGGGGTTTCTCCATGTTGGTCAGGCTGGTCTTGAACTCCCAACTCCTGGCCTCGGCCTCCCAAAGTGCTGGGATTAGAGGTGTGAGCCACCGTGCCCAGCCAGGACAAGTCTTCTTACAGAAGAATTCCAATTAGTAAATGTAGAAGGATTGAGAGAAATTGAAAAATCATCATTAGAACACCGGAATAATAATTGCTGCAGGCAACATCTACCAATGAACAATAAAATGAGTGGGTGAAACTTTAAGGAGAAACAAGGTTTTTTTTTTAGAAACGGGATCTTACTACATTGTCCAGGCTGGTCTGGAACTCCTAGGCTCAATGGGATCCTCCCACCTCATGCTCCCCAGTAGCTGCTACTACAGGCACATACCACCCCACCAGGCTTGAAACAAAATATTTGCATAGCCTCAAAGTATCTATCCCCAAATATGTATTAATTAGTATGGTGGTTTTAACATATGCATACATGTTCTTTGATGCTCTGCCATCTAGGAAATGGAGCTTAATTTTTCTCCTCTTGAGTGTGGGCTGGACTCAGCAACTTGCTTCTAACAAGTAGAATGTGGAAAGGCAAAAACAGTGACTTCACAGTGGAAAAATCTGGCAGACACCACCTTAACCAAATGAAGGCTGGCACCACCAGTCAAAAGTCTTGTTGATATCACAGCCTCTGAAATGATGTGGTGAGAAGGGCACTTGGCCTGAGTGGCATTCTTCCCCCAAATCCGTAACGTCAGCCTAATCATGAGAAGACCCATTCTACAAAAGATCTGACCAGCACTCTTCAAATGTGTCCAGGTCACGAAAGACAAGGAAAGGACAAGAAACGGTCTCAGGTTGGAGGAGACTAAGGAGACGTGGCTGAAGGATACACAGGATCTCCCTGTACTGTCCATGTAACTCTTCAATAAATCTACAATTATTTCAAAATAGCAAAAAATACGATTGCTGGCCGGGCACAGTGGCTCACGCTTGTAATCCCAGCACTTTGGGAGGCCAAGAAGGGCAGATTACTTGAGGTCAGGAGTTTGAGATCAGCCTGGCCAACATGGTGAAACCCTGTCTCTACTAAAAATGCAAAAATTAGCTGGGCGTGGTGGCATGTGTCTGTAATTCCAGCTGCTCGAGTAGCTGAGGCAGGAGAATGGCGTGAACCCGGGAGGCGGAGCTTGCAGTGAGCCGAGATTGCGCCACTGCACTCCCGCCTGGGCCACAGAGCGAGACTCCGTCTCAAAAAAAAAAAAAAAAAAATTACTGTGGTCAAGATGGAATAACAGGGATCTGGTTTAACACACCCCAAAAAGGACCTAAGAAAGGACCATTCCCTCTCCTCTCTGAGGTGGGAAGATCTGGGAAGGAGAGGAGGCTGACCAGTGGGGTCTACCTTCTGCTCCACCCCTCTTCTATCCAAGAGTCTGAGCACCCAACCCCCACACCACCCTGGAGGCTCCCGCCCTCGTGCTGAGTCTGGCATGCCCTCCCCATCCCTACTGGCCCAGGGGACTAGGTTAGCTCAGAGAAGCCCTTCTAACTCACCCACAACTGGACCAAAGAAGGATTGATCTGGGGCCACTGCCTGGTCCCTGGGAGCACTGTGCTAGGGCAGGGGGCTGAGATGCCCCAGGGTAAGAGACAGAACAGTGATTTTTTTTTTTCTAAGACAGAGTTTCGCTCTTATTGCCCAGGCTGGAGTGCAATGCGCGATCTTGGCTCACCGCAATCTCCGCCTCCCAGGTTCGAGCGATTCTCCTGCCTCAGCCTCCCGAGTAGCTGGGATTACAGGCATGTGTCACCACGCCCCCCGGCTAATTTTGTACTTTTAGTAGACACAGGGCTTCTCCATGTTGGTCAGGCTAGTCTCAAACTCCTGACCTCAGGTGATCCTCCCACCTTGGCCTCCCAAAGTGCTGGGATTACAGGCATGTGCCACCGCACCCGGCCAAAAACAGTGATATTCATATAGATGGGGGAGGGATTAATGGGGGTGGAGTGAGAGAGAGCCTGCTGGAGCAGTCCGAAAGGCAGGCATTCCTTCTGTTCAGCAACATTCCTGCCCCCACAATCTCCTCCCACAACTTATATCTAGTGCAGGCTGAGAGTGAATCTGTCTGCCAGTGTTCAAGCCACTGTGTGAACCTGAGTTTCTTAACCGTTCTGAGTGTCAGGAGTTTTTTTCATCTCCAAAATAGGAGCAACAAGGATACCAATCCCTTGAGATTGTATGAAGCTTAATGCACTTAACACAGCACCTGGCACGTAGACATGCTCCCTAAATGCCAGCTGTTATTATGAAAGAGAGAAGTCTGAGGTTCAGAACTAGCAGGCAACACATAATCTATAATGATGGATGGCTCAGACAGGGTCCTGTCCTATAGGGACTCACAGTCTAGTGGAAAGGACAGTCCTGTGGACAGCAAATGGCAATATACCTGGGTAAGTACTGTAATAGAATAACAAAGTAATATCCTATCACGGGGCAGTCACGGGGGCAGTGAGAGACAAGCGCTTGTCCATGCCAGGCTCTGTACTCAGTCCATCACATACATTAGGTCTTGCAGTCCTCATACCACCATAAGGTGGTTACCATTATCTCCAATTCACAGAAAAGCAAACAGTATGGAGTGTTTAAGCGTCCTGTCCGAGATGGCATAGCTAGTGGAGCTGAAATTTGAACCCAAGTAATCCAGGTCCAGAATGCCCCGGATGCAGAAATGACCACACAGATTCTACCAATGAACTAACCTGATAAGGTTGGAGGTCATACTCATAACCCCTCACACAGGTCCACACAGACACAGGCAAGCACACCCATGTCTATTCAGATACACACCAATTCCTGTCTATGACGAGCGCTCAGAAAATCCTCCACAACACCACACCAGGAATGATGTGCATTTTGAGAAAAAAAAAAATCAGCTCTGAAGACCTCACAGACACATGCAGTGAAATGTAAATGGAGGGACCCACCCAAGTTCTTGAATAGCACATTACATGCCTGGATGCACATCAGCGGGCATGTAAATGATGACGAGGAGGTCTGCAGACACTGACACGCTGCATTTGCACTCACTCTGCTACTGAATTTTTTAGCAGCTACATTTACTGAGCACCTACTGTATGTAAGGAAAGATAAAGCAGCCGGGAGCTGTGGCTCACGCCTGTAATCTCAGCGCTTTGGGAGGCCAAGGCAGGTGGATCACCTGAGCTCAGGAGACCAGCCTGGCCAACATGGTAAAACCTTGTCTCTACTAAAAATAATACAAAAATTAGCTGAGTGTGGTGGCATGCACCTGTAATCCCAGCTACTCAGGAGGCTGAGGCAGGAGAATCGCTTGAACCCAGGAGGTGGAGGTTGCAGTGAGCCAAGATCACGCCATTGCACTCCAGCCTGGGTGACAGAATGAAACTCTGTCTCAAAGAAAAAAAAAAAAAAAAGTAAAAAAGATAAAGCTCAGAGAAGTGAAGTGGCTTGCCCAAAGTCAAATGGCTGAGATTCAAACCCTGGCCCTATAATATTAGGCAACGGTGTCTCCCTCCACCACTGTGCAGATGCATCCATGAGTGAAGAGATGTGCTATGGCTGGATTCCCTCATTGACATTCCCTGTGACCTTGGACATGGCATGGCCTTGTCTGGCCCACATTCTCATGTTGAGTCCATTCACAGGTGTGCTCCATGGATGTGCATGGATGGGACCGGCAACCCTGGCCTTGCTCTGAGTCTCAGCTTGGCTTGGTGTCACCAGGGCTGTGAGCTTCCAATCCCAGCCTTGCCATGTCCCAGAGCACATGGCTCAAAACCAAGCTCTGGGCATCAGGCCAGCAGGGCCCCTGTGATGGAAGAACTGACAGGATTTCATAAGCATCCGGCCCGGGACACGTGGTCAGGGCAGGGAGAAGGGAGATAAACAGGATGTCCACCAGGGTGTGCACCTGGGCAGGGTCCATGGACCAGGTGTGGCAGGGGAAGAGCTGTCAGGACTTGGCATCTGATGGGCACTCAGCAGATATAGGCTGTGTGAGGGGAGGAGTTTGTGGGGAGGCAGGGCTGCAGCTTTGCTTCCATCCTGGAGGCCAGGAATGAGGGAGTAAGTGAGCCATTGACTCAATGAATGAATGAATGAGCGAGTGAGTGAAGGAAGGAAGGGGTAAGTAAATAAGTGAAGAATGGAATGGGGGAGGGAGTGAATTTATTTATTTATTTATTTATTTATTTTGAGACAGGGTCTTGCTCTGTTGCCCAGGCTGGAGTGCAGTCTCAGCTCACTGCAACCTCTACCTCTCAGGCTCAAGGGATTCTCCCACCTCAGCCCCCAGCATAGCTGGGACTACAGGCGCATGCCGCCACATCCCGCTAATTTTTGTATTTTCTGTAGAGATGGGGTTTCGCTATGTCGGCCAGGCTGGTCTCAAACTCCTGGGCTCAAGCGATCTGCCTGCCTCAGCCTCTGCAGTGCTGAGATTACAGGTGTGAGCCACCGTGCTGAGCTGTGAATTTATTTTTTACACAAATCTGAGTGCTCACTCTGTGCTGGCCCTGGACGGGTCTCTGTGGATGTCTGGTGAGCAGGATGGACACAGCCCGGTCATTGCAACGCTAAAAGCTTGAATGACACCAGTCAGGCTGGGGAACTGGGAGGGCCCTTGACATGCAGAGTGACTCAGCCAGTGTGAGCAGGGGTTGTCAGCATGCCTAGGGGAGCAAGAGACTGTGAGAGATGTGTGTGTATACTTGTGTGCCTGTGTGTGTCCGTGTGTACACATGTGTGCGCCGACACAGCCAGGTGTTGGCCAATGCAGGTGTGGTGTCCTCAAGAGCACAGTGCATCCTGATTCTTCACCCTCCCAGGCCTCCCCTGCCCCTGTTGTGTGCCAGCTGGGCCTGCCCCATGTTATGCCTGACGCCCACGCAAAAGCTGCTTCTTCCAGTCACAGGACAAAGGCATCCTCAGCCCAGACCCTGTACCCCAGGGGTAAAGACCTCTCAGACCCCTAGTGCTCCTCAGCATGGACCTCTCCACCAGGAGCCTCAGAGTTGTGAGAAGCACAGGCACCCAAAGCCCACCGCCCTGTGTCCATGTGCATGGAGTGTGCCCAGGTACACGCAAGGGCTGGAGATGCCCCAGGGCGGTCCAGACAGACGTGCAGATGACACATTGGCCACTGAGTTTCCACAGACACTGAGCTAAGTGCTTTCGAGACACACTGGGTGACCTTAGGCGTATCACCCTCTCTGAGCCTCAGTTTCTAATCTAAAAGTAGGGTAATTATACTCACTTCCAGTCTTGTTAGAATAACTCAATGCATGATCAGCTCAACACATCATGATTATTTTTCCTGAGTTCCTGCCTTCCCAGCTATATTGTCTATTCCTCAACAGTACCCACTGAGTCTTATATCCCCGTTTCTCCTATGATACTCCATTACACAGGACTCAAATAACTACCTGCTCTAAGAATTGCTGAGTGACATGTAGTCCTCATAAATAGCAATAATAGTCACTAACATTTATATAACAACAAGAGCCAGCAATTTTGATTTTTTATTGTGTCAGGCATTGTGCTGAACACTTTACATTCCTTCATTCATTTGACAAACATTCACTGAACACCTGGTAGGTGCTGGGCTCTGTGCTAGACCTGCAGATGCAGCATCTCTGCCCTCAAGGTTCTTACATTCTGATGGGGAAGAAGAGACAGACAAAAGACAGTTTGGCGGGGCACAGTGGCTCACGCCTGTAATCCCAGCACTTTGGTAAGCCGAGGCAGGCAGATCACTTGAGGTCAGGAGTTTGAGACCAGCCTGGTCAACATGGTGAAACCCCTGTCTCTACTGAAAAAATACAAAAATTAGCCAAGTGTGGAGGTAGGCATCTGTAATCCCAGCTACTCGGGAGGCTGAGGCACAAGAATGACTTGAACCTAGAAGGTGGAGGTTGTAGTGAGCAGAGATCGAGCCACTGCACTCCAGCCTGGGCGACAGAGCGAGATTCAGCCTCAAAAAAAAAAAAAAGATAATTTAATACATAAATGGGATAATTTCAAACCTTGACAAGTGCTACAAATAAAATAAGGAAGAGTTATGGATTAGAGACAAACTGCAGGGATTAGGTGGGGCATGATGCTTGATGAGTGATCAGGGAGGGCCTCTCTGAGGAGCAAATATTTGATCTGAGACCTGAAGAAGAAGGAAGAGCCTGGAAAGATACAGGAAAAGTTCCAGGCAGATGGCATAGCAAGGGCAAAGGCCCTGGGGCAGGAAGAACTTGGTAGGTTCGAGGACTAGGAGAAAGGGACCATAGCTGGAGGATGATTCAGCAAACCTGGCAGGTCTGTCCTGGATGACTCAGCAAGCCTTGCAGGTCTGTTCTGGTTTCAGAACCCAGGCATTTTGTCCTTCACTCCAGGCTGCCTCAGAGACATGCATCCCTGCCATACACAACAATGTGTGCACGCTGGCACACATGCACATGCATGCACACACACACTCTGCATGCTGACACACAACTAAGGGCCGGACCAGCCATGATAGTCTAAGACACTAACATTTTTCTCTAGTGTCTTGTGGGGCCAAGTAGAAGGGCCAGATGTCACCTTTGCCCAGCCTTCCAGAAGTTCTGGGCCAAAGAAAGATTAAATGGCAGGAAGAGAAAAATGGCTTAATAAGGAGGTGACGGGGAACTCGGGTGGCCTGTGGGGGTGCGGAGATGGGGGGAGATGATAGAGATGTGAGAGCCCATGGGCACATCCCCTCTGGGGAAGTGAGGGAGCACCGAGAACAGAGAAGCAGAGGGAGTGGAGACGGTTCTCAGAAGCACAGGGCCTCCACACTCACCACAGCCCCTACTCAGCCGACATGCCTTGCTTCCTCTCACCTCCCCTGGTTCACCTCAGAGATGGGACACTCATTGCCCACCAGGGCAGCCTGGGTGGTGCCAACTGTGAGAGAGCTCCCCTTCCACATCTGCCTTTGTGGCTGTAAAATGTGGAAAGAATAAGAGAAATACCTATGAAATCTGCAGGAAGATACTTTCTTTTTTTTTTTTTTTTTTTTTTGAGATGGAGTTTAGTTCTTGTCGCCCAGGCTGGAGTGCAGTGGAGCGATCTCAGCTCACTGCAACCTCCGCCTCCCAGGTTCAAGCAATTCTCCTGCCTCAGTCTCCCGAGTAGCTGGGATTACAGGTGCTCGCCATCACACCCAGCTAATTTTTTTGTATTTTTAGTAGAGATGGGGTTTCGCCATGTTGGGCAAGCTGGTCTCGAACTCCTAACCTCAGGTGATCCACCCACCTCAGCCTCCCAAAGGAGGCTGGGATTACATTTTTCTAAATCAGTTCGGTAAAAATCAAAAATTTTGAGAACACCTGGTGTTGTAGTTCTGGGAAGCAGGTACTCACATGCTTTGCTGGCAGGAGGTAGATTGATAACAATCTCTATAGAGGAGGAGCCAGAGATCTCTCTTAAAAGTGCAAATGCACAAACTTTTGACTTAGAAATTCTGCTTCTGGGCAGGGCGCGGTGGCTCACGCCTGTGATCCCTGCCTCCCAGGCCAAGGTTGCAGTGAGCTGAGATCGCACCATTGCACTCCAGCCTGGGCAACAAGAGCGAAACTCTGTCTCAAAAAAGAAAGAAAGAAAGAAAGAAAAATTCTACTTCTAGGAAATTAGCTCAGAACTTCTCTCCACACCCCCATGTATGAACACTGCAGCATTTTTTGTTATAGCAAAAGACTGGAAATAATTAACTGTTCATTGACAAGGGATGGTTTAAATAAACCAGTACATTCCTAACCATGGAATAGGACCAAGCTGTAAAAACTGACCAGGCAGGTCTTTCTGGACTGACACGGAAGAGTCCCCAAGATAAATTGTTAAATAGGAAGGAAAAAGGCAATCTGAAGGACATGGAGTGTGCTCCCATCTGTGTAAAAAAGTGACAATAAATCCTCATATTTTATGTCTTGAAGGAAACACGAGAAAATGGCTTGACCCCAGGAAGATGAACTAGGAGCTGGGGATAGGAGTGGGAGGGAGACTTCTCAAGTATTACTCTTCTGTGCCTTTGAATTTTGAGCTAAAATATTTAAATAAAATATTAATATAATTAATATAATACAATTAATAATTAATATTGAATAAAATAAAATATCTAAAAATCTGCTCCCCGGGTGCGGTGGCCCACGCCTATAATCCCAGCACTTTGGGAGGCCAAGGCTGGTGGATCACCTGAGGTCGAGAGTTAGAGACCAGCCTGACCAACATGGAGAAACCCCGGCTCTACTAAAAATACAAAATAATTAGCCGGGAGAGGTGGCGCATGCTTGTAATCCCAGCTACTCAGCAGGCTGAGGCAGAAGAATCGCTTGAACCCGGAAGACGGAGGTTGCAGTGAGCCAAGATCGCACCATTGCACTCCAGCCTGGGCAACAGAAGCAAAACTCCGTCTCCAAAAACAAACAAAAAAACAAAACAAACAAACAAACAAAACCACAACTGTCTGCTCAAAAGTGCCATCCTCCTACACACTCCTTGCCCTCAGCTAAGTTCTGTCCCCATGGAACTCTCCCTGGAAGAGACAATCTGTCTCCCAAGAGAGCAGGCCTATGTGTGAGTCCTGGTTCCATCACTGACCCTAAGTGTGACCTCAGGCAAGACACTCCCACCCCTGACTTGTACTAGACAGTTCTCCCCAGCACTGACATTCTGTCTCTCCTGCTGGAGGGGCAGGAGGGCAGGCACAGTGTCTTCTTGCTCTGTGATTCATTCAGTTCACTTAAACTGAGTTACCTACTCCAGGCCAGAGTTTGGGTTCATCCATTTCTTGCCCTCCATGCCCACCCCAGGGTCTGGCATGGGAGTTGGTACCCTATAGGAGTTCTGAACAGACTCAGCTTACGGATGAGGAACAGACGGTGGGTCAGATGCGCGGTAAGGAGGGTCAGGTACACGGCCCATGGGATCGAATAGATTCATGGGTGGGTCTTTAAGACAACCGCCTTCACTCAATCCTAAGCCCTCCCCACAGCTACCACCCTATTTTTTCTCCCCTTTGCAGAAAAGGGCTTTGAGAAAATTGTCTATCCTCGCTGTTTTTAATTAGTCTTCTCTCTCTCTCTCCCTCTGAGACAGGATCTGCTCTCTCACCCAAGCTGGAGTGCAGTGGCGTGATCATGGCTCACTGCAGCCTCAACCTCCTGGGCTCAAACGATCTTCCCACCTCAGCCTCCTGAGTAGCTGGGACTACAGGTGTGCACTACCATGCCTGGCTAATTTTTGTATTTTTTGTAGAGACTGGGTTTTGCCATGTTGCCCAGGCTGGTTTTGAACTCCCAGGCTCAAGTGATCCATCCACCTCAGCCTCCCAAAGTGCTGGGACTGCAGGTGTGAGCCACCACACCTGGCCCTCTTGTCTCTTAAGTCCATTTAATCATGCTTCTACCTGTCACTTCCCTAGTTGAAACTGCTCTTGTCAATTTCAACACATTGCTAAATCCAATGTGTTCAGTTCTCATTCTTCATCTTTTTTTTTTTTTTTTTTTGAGACAGAGTCTTGCTCTGTCACCCAGGCTGGAATACAGTGGCACGATCTTGGCCCACTGCAACCTCTGCCTCCTGGGTTCAAGCGATTCTCCTGCCTCAGCCTCCCGAGTAGTTGGGACTACAGGCACAAGCCACCAAACCCAGCTAATTTTTGTATTTTTAGTTGAGACGGCATTTCACCATGTTGGCCAGGATGGTCTCAATCTCTTGACCTCGTGATCCGCCCACCTTGGCCTCCAAAAGTGCTGGGATTACAGGTGTGAGCCACCGCACCCGGCCCATTCTTCATCTTCTTAACTGATCAACAGTTTGACACAGCTGACCACTCCCTGCTCTTTGATGTACTTCTTTTCACTTGGTGGCCAGGCCTCCACTCTCTGCTGGTTTTCCTCCTTCTCAGGCTCCCTGCTTCTCCCATTCCTGTTGGAGCAGTGAGGACTTGGTCCCTGGAGCTCTCATCCAGTCTCACGTCTATGACTCCCAACACTGTATCCTCAGCCCAGACCTCTCCCCTGAACTCCAGCCCATACATTCAAATACCTACCTGATGTCTCTTTGAGGATGTCAAAAGACATGACAGACTCCACAGAACCAAAGCTGAACCTGGGCTTCCCCCAAACACCTCGCTCCATGTCATTTGATGGCAGTTCCATACCTGTCACCGTTCAGGCCAAGAAACCTTGGAAGCACCTTGACACCTCCTTTTCCCTCAAACTCCACATCTAGACCATCAGCAATCCTGTTGGCTCCACCTTTAAAATATACCCAGAATCCAGTCACAGCTCACCTCTAGCATGGCCACTGCCCTGCTCTGAGCCACTGGAGTTTAAGAGAATTATTGCAACACCTGCTCCCTTGTCTTCCTGTCCTTGCCTCATTCAGTCTATTCCAAGTACAGATCCCTAAATGATTTTATTTTAAAAGTAAGTCAAGGCTGGGCATGGTAGCTCATGCCTGTAATCCTAGCGCTTGAGGAGGCCGAGGAAGGAGGATCACTTGGGTGTAGGAGTTTGAGACCCACCTGGGCAATGTGGCAAAACCCTGTCTGTACTTAAAAAAAA